>NW_009646208.1:0-153027 GCF_000001405.40 Homo sapiens
CCCTGCCTCCAACAAAGAGCATAGGCCAATTCTTCTTGAGAAACTGGACTTTTATCATTTACATATTGAATTAGAAGTTGACACATCACATCCTTGTTCAACCCAAACTTTGACCAAAAGATTGAGGGTTTGAGGATGGGTCCCTGAGTCCAAATAAAACAGCAATTGTTTGTCATTTGTTGCTTTTTCTTATGTTTAGTTCTCTCATTATCTTTCCAATATTTTAACATGAGACCTAGGGGACTAACAGCAGGAATATCTTTATTGCTGTCTTTATCCTTTTTACTCCGTGTCCTGCTTGGGGTGTTTCCCATGTTGGGTCCTAGTTAGGCTCAGTCCCTCATATTAGAGATTTCTTGCCTATCCTTTTCTGGAGGCTTGCTGAGGCTCAATCCCTCGTATTAGAGATTTCTTGCCTCTCCTTTTCTGGAGGCTTATTGAGGCTCAATTCCTCATACTAGAGATTTCTATCCTTTAGCCCCACCTGCTGGAGGCTCCTTGCACCCTTCTTTTGCTTCGTCCACTCTGGTCGCTTCCCGGAGGGGAATTTAGGTCCCTCTTACCTTTGGCACGCCCATATAAACCCCATGGCAGGATCTGTCCTAAGCCATATGAGGTGACCATGGAACCTCAGATAGGACACACTCATTCCGCACAGCAGTAGTGCTTAGTACCATTCACACAAGCAGCACCGCAAGCAGTAATGCTTGTGATCATTCATACACACTTTCAATCTCCAGAATATCTTGACCACCAAGGAAATGCTTTGTCACCCCTGTGACGTTTCTTACCTTGGTCTGTGCACAAAGTTACCTGGTCACCATGGTGTTGCAAGCCTTTTTTTCCCCACATTGCTGAGAGTCCGGATTTATTCGTCACACCGGGTGGGTTCCGATCCCTCACCCTGAGGCCACCGCAACGAGGCAGTGGGATGCGTCTCCTTATGAGAGGTGACCAGAGACCCCTTCCCTGGAGGAGAATGGGAATCCTGGATGAGCCCCAGATTTGTTGGAGATAAATGCTCAGTGCTGCAAAGTGAAACCAGCACTGAGGCGAAAGTTTTCTCAGCAAGGCAGTTTACTTCTGCAGAAGGGTGCTGCTTGTGTCAATCACGATTGCAAGAGCACACTGAACAAAGGAAAGCAGGGGTTTTTATTCCTAATGCAATCCCTCCCTCTGTGTCACTCCTTCATGGGCTGTGGTTGGACTGCACAATCTAAACTGACCCGACTGGCTATTTGTGAATACTTTCCCAAATAAGGAAGGGAAGGGAAATGTGAGTTACAGTGGTGGGACGTGCGGTTTCTAAGGGAGGAAGGGGTGAAGAGTGGGTAACCAAGGGAACAGATGTGAGTTATTGATTAGAACTGACAGGAAGGTTGTTTACAGTTACAGTAACTACGGACAAGGAGGCATAGAGAACAAGAAAGTTGAGTTTGAGAACAAAGAACAAGGAAGTTAACAGGCTAAACCTTTGAAGAGGAATTTTATTGTATCCTACATACTTGTTCTAGTCTGTTGTTGACACTTTCCAGTGCATTTTTTATTTCTTTAAGTGTGTCTTCCATTTGCAGAAATTGTGATTTTTTTTTCTTTATAATATCTGTTTCTCTGGAGAATTTTTCATCCATAGCCTGTATTTTTTTTGTTGTCTTTTTCTTTCTTTCTTTCTTTCCTTTTTGAGACTCTGAGCACTCTGTTGCTCACAGTGCAGTGGTGCAATCTCAGCTCACTGCAACCTCTGGCTCCTGGGTTCACGCAATCCCCCTGCCTCAGTCTCCCAAATAGCTGGTATTACAGGCACGCACCACCATGCCTGGCTGATTTTTGTATTTTTAGTAGAGATGGGGTTTCACTGTGTTGGCCAGGCTGGTCTGAAACTCCTGACCTCAAGTGATCAGCCCGCCTCAGCCTTCCAAAGTGCTGGGTTTACAGGTGTGAGCCACTGCGCCTGGCCAATCCATAGCCTGTATTGTTTTTTACATTTCTTTGTTTTCACTTTTCTCTGGTCTCTCCTTGAGTAGTTTAATAATCAACCATCTGAATTGTTTATCTGGCAATTCAGAGATTTCTTCTTGATTTGCATTCATTGCTGGGGAGCCAGTATGGTCTTTTGGAGGTGTTATAGAACCTTGTTTTGTCATATTACAATTTTTCTGATTTCTTCTCACTTGGGTAGACTATTTCAGGGGAAAAATCTGGAACTCAGGGGCTACTGTTCAGATTCTTTTGTCCCACAAAGTGACCCCTTGATGTGATGCATTCTCACTTCCCCTAGGGATGGAGCTTCGTGAGAGCCAGACTGTAGTGATTGCTATTGCTCTTCTGGGTCCAGCCACCCAGTGGGGCTACCAGGTTCCAGGCTGGTGCTGAGGAATGTCTGCAAAGAGTCCTGTGATGTGATCCGTCTTTAGCTCTCCTGGCCATGGACACCAGCACCTGCCCTGGTGGAGGTGGGAGGGGAGTAAAGTAGACTGTGAGTGTGAGAGTCCTTGCTTGTAGTTTTGTTTACTGTGCTGGCTTTCTCAAATGCTGGTTATGCTAGCAGTGAAGTTGTCACGTGGACAGACTCAGGAGCTCTGGTTAGCCAGGATGTTGAAAGCAGTGGAATTAGCTGTTTCTCATTTCTTGGAGCAGGGTTATTCTGTTGTGAGTTGCTGTAATGTCCTGACTTGGTTGGCCTCCAGCCAGGAGGTGGCGCTTTCAAGAGAACACCAGCTGCAATACTGGAAGGGGGATATAAGCTTGCCCTAAGTTGGCCAGGATAAGTATTAGGATTTCTCAGGTGATGGACAGGGCCATAAAGCTCCCAAGAGTTTATGGCTTTTGTGATCAGCTACCAGGGCGGGTAGAGAAATACTGTCAGGTTGGGGCAGGGTTAGGTGAGTCTGAGCTCAGACTCTTTCTGGGAATCTGTTACTGATTTGTAATTTTTAATTCCACAGTGTTTGAAGGACATACTTGAAATAAATTTAAAATCCATTGAGATTTGTTTCGTGGTCCAGAATATGGCCTATCTTGGTGAATGTTTCATGTGTATGTGAAACTGAGGCATCCATCCCTCAGTTTCAACCACCCATAGATTTGTAATTATTGTTACATTTACAGAAATTTGCAGGAAGGTAGAAGTTATTGTCTTGAACCATAAAATGTCTGTTTGAAGTCTTTGAGCTCCTCAAGGGTAGGCTGTATGTCCTGTTTACCTTTGATCCTCTCAGCATAATGCTTGGACCAAAATGGAAGCTCAGCAGACACTGGTTGAATGAATGAATAGATGACATTCAATTGTTAGGCTGTGTTCTTGTTTTGGATTTAGAAAATATGCTTATTGTGTTATGCAGTAAGACTGAGTCTTGGCTGGGTGCAGTGGCTTACGCCTGTAATCTCAATACTTTGGGAGGCCGAGGCGGGTGGATCACTTGACGCCAGGAGTTTGAGACCAGCCTGGCCAACATGACAAGACCCTGTCTTTACTAAAAATACAAAAAAAT
Source organism: Homo sapiens (assembly GCF_000001405.40). Taxonomy (NCBI): domain Eukaryota; kingdom Metazoa; phylum Chordata; class Mammalia; order Primates; family Hominidae; genus Homo; species Homo sapiens. The sequence continues at coordinate 3,492 of NW_009646208.1, forward strand.
TAGCTGGGCATGGTGATGCACACCTGTAATCCCAGCCACTCGGTAGCCTGAGGCATGAGAATCTCTTGAACCTGAGAGGTGGAGGTTGCAGTGAGCCATGATCATGCCACTGCACTCCAGCCTGGGCAACAGATCAAGACTCAGTCTTAAAGACAAAAAAAAAATACTGAGTCTTACACACTTTTGCATCTTTGTGTCTCTATGGGTCTTCACACAGAGCTTGGCACATTGTAGCTGCTCAGTCAGCACTGTTTGTGCTGAATTGAAACAATGAGATATGTACAAAGGGGCTGTCTCTCACTACTGGGGATTTAAAGCCACCCCGAGGCATTTGACAAGCTGTTCTGGCCAAGGTTGAAGAGGTTGTCCTGTCATAAAGCCCCCCTAAGACACGATGTCACACATAGACACCACTCTCTGTGCGAAAGGGGGGGCCTGTGCACTGAACTCCCAGACTTAGCTGGGCCTCAGTGCTCTTCTTGGGTTTGGTCATAGAGCCCAAGAGGAGGTGGATAAGCTGCCTGACACTGATATGGTAAAAGGATTATCTGCAAATTTCTAGCGTCATCAAGACTGGCCTCTTTGGTAAGCAGGCCTAAAAGGCTGCCCTCAATAAACCACCCAAGCAGGTGAAAATTATCTTTTTACCCCAAGCCTACCTTTTCTACATCCTTTTCTACTTGACATGCCCCTTCTACTCCTCTTCTCTCCTTTAGGACTCATTCTCTCTCCTTTCCTCCTCTAAACCTCCTCCCAGAAAAAGACCTGATAACTTCACTTACACCGGGTTATAGATGACTAACAAAGCTTACTATTGAATATGTTGCTAGTAGAAATCTGAATAAGATACAGCAACTTTTCAACTCTGATCATGGCTTTAAGCACTAGGATGAACCACAGCCATGTAATCATTCATTTGGTTACTTAGCTCTTGCTGTGTCCCACGCATAGGGGCAGCTACTGGGGGTTTGACAGTGGACGGACCTAAAGTGGTCCCTCAGTCAGGGGACAGTACAGTACCCTAAGAGCACTGAGGAGGGCCACCCCACGTGAACTCAGGTAGTCAGGGGAGCCCTCCTGAAAGCCATGGAGAAACACATTCTAGGTAGATAACAGCACATGCAAAGGCCTAGAAGTGAGTGTCTGAGGTGGAAGTTCAGAGTCTTTGTCGTCAGCAGGACATGGAGCAACACTTGACACTGAGATTTAGGCAGAGAGAGACAGAGAGACAAAGAGAGATAGAGAGACAGAAACAGATACAGAGACAGAGTTAGAGATACAGAGAGATAGACAGAGACAGAGACAGAGATAGAGACAGAGCTAGAGATACAGAGAGAGACAGAGATACAGAGAGAGAGACAGATAGAGATACACAGAGAGAGGCAGAGACAGAAATAGAGACTGAGAGAGGCAGAGACAGAAAGAGAGACAGAGATAGAGACTGAGAGATAGAGAGAGAGAGGAGTGGGAGGCAGGAGGAAAACCAGAGCATGAGAGGTCAAGCAGCCAAGAGAAAAGGCGAGGTCGTTAAAGAAAGGGTCAGCTGGGGCCGGGTGCAGTGGCTCATGCCTGTAATCCCAGCACTTTGGAAGACCGAGGCAGGCGGATCACGAGGTCAGGAGATCAGGACCATCCTGGCTAACATGGGGAAACCCCGCCTCTGCTAGTAAATACAAAAAAATTAGCTGGGCCTCGTGGCGGGCCGCCTGTAGTCTCAGCTACTCGGGAGGCTGAAGCAAGAGAATGGTGTGAACCCGGGAGGCGGAGCTTGCAGTGAGCCGAGATCACGCCACTGCACTCCAGCCTGGGCGACAGAGCGAGACTCCGTCTCAAAAAAAAAAAAAAAAAAAAAAAAAAAGAAAAAAAGGAAAGAGTCATCTGGGTTTGGTGACTAGGAGCGTACTGGTGACCTCAGTGAGAGGGGTTTCAGAGGCTTATGGAGACAGATGCAGGTTGAAGTGGGTTGTGGAGCGCGGGAGAGGTAGAAAGCAGTAAACACACCCCCCTGCCAACACCGCTCTCAGGAGACTGGTGTGAAGGGTAGGGGTCAGGACGCTAGCTGGAGAAGGAATATGGGTTCAAGGGAGAAGGGCTTTTTTCTTTTTAATAGAAGAGATCAGCAATGTGTTTAGATGCTGATGGAAGGAGCCAGAAAAAAGGAAAAGGAGAATATTGAGGTGAGACGAGATCTCCAAATGCCCAGGTGAGAAGACCAGATGAAATGGGGCACAGGAGTAGGGCTAGCTTTGGAGAGGGAGGGGAGCCTCCTCCCCTCCTCCCCTGGAAGAGGAAATGGCCTATGAGAAGCCGGTGAGTGAATGGGTTTGGTGGCAGCAAGTTGAGGAAATGCCCATCTGATGGTGCCTATGCTCTCTGCTGAAAGTGAGGAAGACGGGGTGGAGTTAGAGGTTAAAGAGAGAATCTAAGGGCCCGGGCATTGTGAGGAGGGCAAGGCAGGATTGGTGGAGCCCAGGAGTTCAAGACCAGCCTGGGCAACATAGACCCTGTCTCTACAAAAAAATTAAAAATTAGCTGGGTGTGGTGAGGTGTGCCTGTGGTCCCAGCTACTCAGGAAGCTGAGGTAGAAGGATCACTTGAGTGCAGGATGTTAAGGCTGCAGTGAGCTGGGATCACGCCACTGCACTCCAGCCTGAGTGACACAGCAAGACTCTGTCTTTAAAAAAAAAAAAAAGTGGCTGGCCTCGGTGGCTCACGCCTATAATCCCAGCACTTTGGGAGGCCGAAGCGGGTGGATCACCTGAGGTCAGGAGTTTGAGACCAGCCTGGCCAACATAGTGAAACCCCGTCTCTACTAAAAATACCTTAAACCCAGGAGGTGGATGTTGCAGTGAGCCGAGATCGTGCCAGTACACTCCAGCCTGGGCGACAGAGACTCCGTCTCAGAAAAAAAAAAATCCTCCATAGTCACCTGTAGTCAGCCCTTCCTCCTACTCCCACACCCTGGCAATCAGTGAACAGTTTCCTGTTCCTGTGGTTTTGACTTTGCAAGATTGTCATATAAATGGAAACGTATGGTAGCCTTTTCAGTCTGGTTTATTTTACTTAGCACAAAGCATTTGAGATTCATCTAGTCACGTGTATCCGTAGTTTGTTCCTTTTATTGAGTGGTGGTCCGTTGTATGGATGTTCCAGAACATTTGGACTATTTCTAGTTTGGGGCATAAAATGACTATTAATAAATATTCACGTACAAGTTTTGTGTGTACATAGATTTTCCTTATACTTGAGTAAAGAGCAAGCAGTGGAATTTTTGGGTCATATGGTAAGTGTAAGTGTAAGTTTAATTTTGTAAGAAACTCAAACTTTTTCAAAGCGGCTGTCTCACCAGCAATAACCGAGAGGTTCCAGTTGTTCTACATCCTCTCCAGCATTTGTTATCTTTGAAAGCCATTCTAAAAGGCATATTTCAATTTTTATTAGATCGGTATTGAAGATTTACATTATTAAACTATGTAAACAGGCCAGGCGTGATAGTTTACACCTATAATCTCTGCACTTTGGGAGGCGAAGGCAGGAGGATCTCTTGAGCTCAGAAGTTCCAGGCCAGCCTGGTCAACATAGTGAGACTCTGTACAAAAAATAAATAAATAAATCAGAAAAAAATTAGCTAGGTCAGGCACAGTGGCTCATGACTGTAATCCCAACTACTTGAGAGGTCAACATGGGAGGATCGCTTGAGTCCAGGAGTTCGAGACCAGCCTGGACAACATTGGGAGACACTGTCTATTTAAAAAAAAAAATTAGCTGAGTGTGGTGGTGCCCTGTGATCCCAGCTACTAAGGAGGCTGAGGTAAGAGAGTCACTTACTTGAGCACAGGTTGTGGAGGCTGCAATGAAACGTGATCACTGCACTCCAGTCTGGGCAACAGAGCAAGACTCTTTCTCAAAACAAAAAATGTAGACAGTAGTCCCAGTTGAGTCATGATTTTAGTTTTTCTTCTTCTCTTTCTTTAGTTTTTTGTGCATCTATTAAATAATTAATTCATCCAAATTTTCTGCCAAAAATAGAAATCTCTTTGCAGTACATTTAGACAGATCAGGTCATTTCTCCATATGATCATTTTCATGGAGACATACCTCAGGAGCCCTCCATCTCCCTGATTCCATCTGGATGGGGCACCCTGGAGGTCTGCTGCCCAGCTGTCCTCCTGAGCTCCCCATTCACCCTTATGCTCAGGGGCTCTCCCTGCCTGTTGTGCTGGGTCCCATGTTATCTTCTTTTCTATTTCTCCTTTATTTTAGTGAAGTACAACCTCCGGTTGCTTCCTGAGGGGTAGTCTTGAGACATTTATGTATCCGAAAAGACCTCAATTCATACTTGCATAGCATTTGGCTAGGTATAGAATTCTAGATTGGAAATATTTTCTCTCAGATTTTGAAGGTCTTCATTATCTTATAGCTTCAAAGGTTGGTGTTGAGAAGTCTGATGAATGTTGAATTCCTGAAGCTCAGACTTTTTTCTCTCTGGAAGTTTTTGGGTTCCACTCTGTCCTCAGTGTTGTGAAATTTCTTGACAACAAAATTGGGGCTGGGTCCCCTTCATTCATTGTCATGAACACTTGGTGTTTCCTTCTCTACTGGAAACTCATGTTCTTCCTCTGTGAGAACTTGTCTTGACAAAAAAGAAACGTATTTATTAGACATCTTTCCTTGCCTCCTAGTCTGTTGTCTCTGCTGCCTGTTTCAGAAACATCTAAACAACAATTTAGCTGTTGGAGCTCCTGACCTCTTCTCTGTTCTTTCTGGAAAATATTTTTTTCAAGTTTAGCTTCTATACTTTGATTAGATTTTGCATTCCTATTATTATATTTTTTATTTTTAAGGCAAGGTCTTTCTCTGTTGCCCAGGCTGGAGTGCAGTGGCACGATCACAGTTCACTGCAGCTTTGTTCCTGGACTCAAGTGATCCTCCCACCTCAGCCTCCCAAGCAGCTGGAACTACAGGTGTGTGCCACCACACCCAGCCAGTATTTTAATTTTTTGTAGAGATGGGGTCTCCTTAGGTGGCCCAGGCTGGTGTTGAATTCCTAGGCTCAAACAATCCTCCTGCCTTAGCCTCCCAAAATGCTGGGATTACAGGCATGAGCTAAGGCACCCAGACTATATTTTTGTCAAGAATTAGTGGTGGTGGGTGTTTGAACATTTTTATTTTAGACCCTCCTATTCTTATTTCATGAATGCAAAGTTTTATCTTTCTAAAGATATCAATTATAGATTTTTTTTTTAAGACAGTTTCACTCTTGTTGACCAGGCTGGAGTGCAATGATGCGATCTCGGCTCACTGCAGCCTCTGTCTCCCAGGTTCAAGCAATTCTCCTGCCTCAGCCTCCTGAGTAGCTGGGATTACAGGCACCCACCACCACGCCCAGCTAATTTTTTGTATTTTTAGTAGAGACGGGGTTTCACCATGTTGGCCAGGCTGGTCTCGAACATCTGACCTCAGGTGATCCACCCATCTCGGCCTCCCAAAGTGCTGGGATTACAGGCGTGAGCCACCCTGCCCAGCCCAATTATAGATTTTTTAGGTTTAGGTGTTGACAGTAGCTCTCACCTCAGCCTGTTCTCTCTCCTTGTCATGCAGCCCACAGGGGAGATGGTCAGGCCAGTGTGGGGGCTAATGAATAAATGCTACACTGTGCCCACTCAGGTGGGTAAGGGCTGGCACTCCTCTTCCCCTGGAGTGGGGCGGCTGTGCTGGCACCCTTGGCAGACACAGTAAGGGGGACTGCACCTGGAAAGGATGGGCCAGTCGGGGCAGGACTACTCATCACTCATAGTGTGGGTGTCAGGGTTGTGTCACCCCTCCCACCTCCCTCTGCAGAGACGCAAAGTCAAGAGTAGGAAGAAGCCAACCTCTGAGGTAAGGCTTCCCCTGGAAGGCCCAGGGCTGGGGCTCTCTCCTTTCAGAGCTCAGTTAGACCCAGACACACGGCAGGGAGTCCCAAGGGTAGTGGCAGGCCCCCTCCAGGAAACTCACAAGGTTACCACAGCTCAACTGAAAAGGAAGAACTTCCCAGGACTGTGACACCCCAGTGTGAGAACAGGAGGATGAGGTGCTCTGAAGGCCTTTCTGCCCAGTCTGCCCTCTTATTCCTCCTGCAGGTCACGACCCCCAGGAGACCTGGAGGACTGAATGCTGCTGCCCCCAAGGAGGAGGCTGCCGTCTTATCCCAGGAGGGAGAGCAGGTGAAGTCCCCAGGGGAGGAAGCACCTAGCCCCATTCCTGCTGAGCAGGAGGTGGCAGGTACCCCAGACTGGGAGGTAAGGACAGCCCGGGGCTTCGACTGAACGTCTCCAGCGTGGGTCCAACTGAGCAGCCATGGAGCACTGCAGAGTGGGAGGCAGCAGGGCAGGGAGGCAGTGCTGGAGGCTGGCTCAACCCCAAGACCAGCAGGCCAAGCTGCCATCCCAGGGGAGCGAGGACGTCTGTGCAGAGCTGAGAGGCAGCAGCCATGTGTGAACAGACTGGGCCTCATCCTGGCCCACCGACTTTGTGTGGACAGAGCCTGTTTCCCTGTCTGTGCAACACAGAACCTGCCTGATCTCACTGCTGGATCCCTCTTCTTCCTGCCAGGAAAATAAAAAGGTTCAAAAGGAAGTTGCTGCGTATCCATCTGGTAAGACCACTGACCCAGCGTGCTGCAGGGGGCTGCTTCCACCCTGCTTCTCAGTGACTGCCAGGGTCACAGACACCCCAGCCCTTTCCCACCTTCCTGACCTGGGGAGGGGAGGGGAGGGAAGCAGCCCAGGAGTCAGGTGCCTTGACCTTCCTGGGAGCCTCCTTGGGTGGGCAGGAACTCTGGGCCACTCCCCTGAGCTGGCTGCATCCCTACCTTTCACCACAGCTGACCTGGCCCCGGGGCATCTCAGAGGGAGGGTTGGTTGCTCCCAGGAGGGGACTCACAAGGCTGCCTGTTTCTACTTTGCAGAGGCCTCTGAGGACAGCAAAGAGCAAAGGCCCTGGGACCGGGTCTACGTGCCCATGACAGAGCTCTGGCTGGACTGGTTCTGAGCCTCTAACACCCCCAAGACTCAGAACCGTGAAGAAAATCTTTCCAATAAATCCAAGAGTTGCTGCTGCTATAGGCCAGGCTGCCACCTTTCGGGGCCTCCGTCTTCAGACAAACCCAGCCTGGCTTCATCCACACTCCCTGTCCCCACAGCTGCAGGAACAGCACTTCCTGCCACCGAGCCGTGTGACCACAGTGGATTGTCTCTGGAGGGGCCCAAGGGGGCCCTGGCCACCCTTCTGACTGACTCGGTGCCAGGGGACAGACCAACGTCCCTCTCGTGCTGACAGCCGGGCCGCACCCTGGCATGAGGGCATTTACAGAAATGCTGGCGGAACTGCTGCCAGGGAGGCTGTAGGGTCCTCTGGCAAAAGAGGCCTCAGGTGGCTCCTCAGAGTGTCTGTGGTTCTCTGTCCCAGGCTGTTCCCTAAGAAGGTCTGCCCAGGACTCAGGTAATCATATGCTCATTAGAAACTCTTGGGCACTGCCTGTGTGCCCAGCCCAGCCCATTATGTCGGTGAGGACAGACGTGGAGGACAGCAGTCCCTGCCCTTGGTTGGGGCTCCAGGCCAGCAAGGGCCACAGCCCCAGAAGGCAGAGCAGGAAGACAGGACTCAGGGCAGGTGAAGCAGCCTTCTCGTTGGCAGAAGGGAAACAGAAGCCCGGGGTGGGGAAGGGTGGGGAAGGGTGGGGAAGGGTGGGCCCGGGGTCACACGGGGTAATGGCAGAGCAAGGACTAGGGTCAGGGTCTCTGGCTCTCAGCTGCCCATGCCACCTCCTCCTTCTCTGCCCGCCCCAGTGCCTTATGGGTCCAAGGTTGACTCCTGTCCCTAGGGCAGGCCTGTGGGCCCTGCCTGATCCCTACTGGGAGGATGGTACCTAGGGTTGGAGCCAAACAAGTGTCCTCCTCCAGCGCCAGCCTGGCCCTGAGTGCGAACTCGTCACTGGTCAGGGGTCTGTACAGCAGCGTCCCTGAGGGCCCAGAGAGGTAGCCAGTCCTGTGGTGAGGTGACGAGGCTGAGGGCGGTGGCTCAGTCCTGGGCTTCCATGGGGCCTTCCCAGGGAACGTTCTGGCACCTGCCGACTGAGCCCTGGGAGGTAGGTAGCCCTGGCCTATAGCTCCCTGACGCCATGATTTGTCTTCCGTTTTGGGGTGTCATATATGAAGGGAGGTGACTGTTGTGATGGTGCTGGCAGGACTGCTGTCCCTGATGTGGGGTGGGCTGAGTTAGGCCTGAAATATGGGCCTCCAGGCTGAGTCCTGCCCTCTCCACCACATCCAGGGCTGACTGACACCTCTAGTCAGCCCATTCTGGCCCCTTCCCCACATGCCAGGACAATGTAGTCCTTGTCACCAATCTGGGCAGTCAGAGTTGGGTCAGTGGGGGACATGGGATTATGGGCAAGGGTAACTGACATCTGCTCAGCCTCAACATACCCCTGTCTCAAATGCGGCCAGGCGGTGGGGTAAGCAGGAATGAGGCAGGGGTGGGGTTGCCCTGAGGAGGATGATCCCAACGAGGGCGTGAGCAGGGGACCCGAGTTGGAACTACCACATTGCTTTATTGTACATTAGAGCCTCTGGCTAGGGAGCAGGCTGGGGACTAGGTACCCCATTCTAGCGGGGCACAGCACAAAGCTCATAGGGGGATGGGGTCACCAGGAAAGCAAAGACACCATGGTGGCTGGGCCGGGGCTGTCCAGTGGGCACCGAGAAGCTGAAGTGCTGCAGCAGGGAGGTGAAGAAGAGGAAGAGCTCCATGCGGGCCAGGGGCTCCCCGAGGCATGCACGGCGGCCTGTGGGGAGGGGAGGGGCGTCAGTGAGCCTGGCTCCTGGGTGATACCCCTGCAAGACTCCACGGAAGGGGACAGGGAGCCGGGCTCCCCACAGGCACCTGCTGAGAAAGGCAGGAAGGCCTCCGGCTTCACAAAGTGGCCCTGGGCATCCAGGAAGTGTTCGGGGTGGAAGCGGAAGGGCTTCTCCCAGACGGCCTCATCCTTCAGCACCGATGACAGGTTGGTGATGAGTGTCGTTCCCTGGGCAGGAGATGCAGGGTGAGAGTGGGGACTGGACTCTAGGATGCTGGGACCCCTGCCACCAAACACACGGGGGACACACACTGCCTGGCACACAGCTGGACTCTGTCAACTAGTCCTGCGCCCGAGAAGCTCCACAGTACCCTCTCCGACCCCACAGCAGGGCGCAGTCACACCTCTCAGAGGCACCCACACTGCCCCCTCTCCCTGCAGGCGCTGGGTCCTCCAACATTCTGGCAGGTCCTGGTTTGTCTCCCCACTAGACGGGGGCTCTGGATGGACAGGCCAGCCCTGCCTATACTCTGGACCCCCCACCCAAGTGGGGACAGTCAGTGTGGTGGCATTGAGGACTAGGTGGCCAGGGTTCCTAGAGTGGGCCCACCTGGCAGTAGCCATGCTGGGGCTATCACCAGGGGCTGGTGCTGAGCTGGGGTGAGGAGGGCGCCAGGCCTACCTTAGGGATGCGGAAGCCCTGTACTTCGATGTCACGGGATGTCATATGGGTCACACCCAGGGGGACGATGTCCCCAAAGCGCTGCACCTCATGAATCACGGCAGTGGTGTAGGGCATGTGAGCCTGGTCACCCATCTCTGGTCGCCGCACCTGCCCTATCACGTCGTCGATCTCCTGTTGGACACGGCCTGGACAGACATGCGTCCCCACAATGGGTCAGCACCCAGGGGGTCCGGCCCTGACACTCCTTCTTGCCTCCTATGTTGGAGGAGGTCAGGCTTACAGGATCCTGGTCAAGCCTGTGCTTGGAGCCCCGGGTGTCCCAGCAAAGTTCATGGGCCCCCGCCTGTACCCTTCCTCCCTCGGCCCCTGCACTGTTTCCCAGATGGGCTCACGCTGCACATCCGGATGTAGGATCATGAGCAGGAGGCCCCAGGCCAGCGTGGTCGAGGTGGTCACCATCCCGGCAGAGAACAGGTCAGCCACCACTATGCGCAGGTTCTCATCATTGAAGCTGCTCTCAGGGTTCCCCTTGGCCTGAGCAGGGCCGAGAGCATACTCGGGACAGAACGGGGTAGCCCCCAAATGACCTCCAATTCTGCACCTGTCAGCCCAGATGCGGCTCGCCGGGTGATGCACTGGTCCAACCTTTTGCCCAGCCTCCCCTCATTCCTCCTGGGACGCTCAACCCACCACCCTTGCCCCCCACCGTGGCAGCCACTCTCACCTTCTCCATCTCTGCCAGGAAGGCCTCAGTCAGGTCTCGGGGGGGCTGGGCTGGGTCCCAGGTCATCCTGTGCTCAGTTAGCAGCTCATCCAGCTGGGTCAGGAAAGCCTTTTGGAAGCGTAGGACCTTGCCAGCCAGCGCTGGGATATGCAGGAGGACGGGGACAGCATTCAGCACCTACACCAGACAGAACGGGGTCTCAATCCCTCCTGTGCTCTGCGTTCACCTGGACAAGTCTCAGGCCCCAGCCATCTCCAGGTAGACCCAGGGCCTGCCTGTCCTTACCACTGACCTCACCAAGTCCCTCCCCAAGTGCCAGCCTCCACCCTCTCTCCTTGCCCAGAGGAGAAACCTAAAATCGAAATCTCTGACGTGGATAGGAGGTACAGAGTCCTTGGCCTCTCCTGGTGCCCCCTGACCCGGGCACACCTCTCCCACGACCATGTCTGAGATGTCCCCTCCTCCTCCAGGCCCTTCTTACAGTGGGGTCTCCTGGAATGTCCTTTCCCAAACCCATCTACGCAAATCCTGCTCTTCCGAGGCCCCAGTCCAGCCCCGGCACCTCTCGGGAGCTCGCCCTGCAGAGACTCCTCGGTCTCTCGCTCCGCACCTCGCGCAGAAAGCCCGACTCCTCCTTCAGTCCCTCCTGAGCTAGGTCCAGCAGCCTGAGGAAGCGAGGGTCGTCGTACTCGAAGCGGCGCCCGCAGGTGAGGGAGGCGATCACGTTGCTCACGGCTTTGTCCAAGAGACCGTTGGGGCGAAAGGGGCGTCCTGGGGGTGGGAGATGCGGGTAAGGGGTCGCCTTCCCCGTCCCCCGCCTTCCCAGTTCCCGCTTTGTGCCCTTCTGCCCATCACCCACCGGAGTGGTTGGCGAAGGCGGCACAAAGGCAGGCGGCCTCCTCGGTCACCCACTGCTCCAGCGACTTCTTGCCCAGGCCCAAGTTGCGCAAGGTGGAGACGGAGAAGCGCCTCTGCTCGCGCCACGCGGGCCCATAGCGCGCCAGGAACACCCCTGGGGGTGGGACGGGCACGTGCGCGTGGCCATGAAGGCATTAGCCCCACCATCCACCACCCACTCCAACCCTATGCTCCCCCTGGTCTCCCGCAGTCCCTGGCTCTGTCCAGCTGGTCACAGGGCCCACTCTTTGTGCATCCACCTTGCTCCCTTGGCTGGGGCAGGGCTTTGCCCCACCTCGTCTCTGCCCACCCTGACCGCCTTTGCACTCAGGGAAGACCCCGCGGGCCCCGCGCCACCCACACTGAGCTTACAGCACAGGTGCGGTCCCCGCCCCCCACTTCGACACCGGATTCCAGCTGGGAAATGCGCCAGCCTCACCCATTGGGCTCCTGCCAGGTCTCGGCAGTGGCCCCGCCCACTCGTCACAAGCCCCGCCCTCGTCCCCATGCTCACACCTCCCTAGTGCAGGTGGTTTCTTGGCCCGCTGTCCCCACTCGCTGGCCTGTTTCATGTCCACGACCCCGCGCCCTCTCTGCCCAGCTCGGACTACGGTCATCACCCACCCGGGTCCCACGGAAATCTGTCTCTGTCCCCACCGCTGCTTGCCTTGGGAACGCGGCCCAAAACCCAGGATCTGGGTGATGGGCACAGGCGGGCGGTCGGCGGTGTCCTCGCCGTGGGTCACCAGCGCCTCGCGCACGGCCGCCAGCCCATTGAGCACGACCACCGGCGTCCAGGCCAGCTGCAGGCTGAACACGTCCCCGAAGCGGCGCCGCAACTGCAGAGGGAGGGTCAGGGCCTCTTGTCAAGCCAGGATCCCCCCAGACTACAGGTCCTAGTCCTATTTGAACCTTGGACGACCCCCGGGGCTACCAGGAGTGAGCAGGTGGAAGGAGGAGACCCAGCCTCCTGATCGTGGGGCGGGGGTGGGGGTCACACCTTCTGTGATGGAGGAACTCAGTTTGGATGCGTCACCCAGGTATGACCTTGCAAGAGTCACCAAAATTGCCGAGAGGCCCCAGTTAGCATCCCATTCCCAGATGATGGTCCATGCCGGTGAGCAGTGAGGCCCGAGGACCCACAGTGCAAAAGGTTTGAACCGGGTCACTGCACCCCCTTCATCCTCGATTTCGTGATTTAAACGGCACTCAGGACTAACTCATCTTCCATTCCCAAGGCCTTTCCTTCTGGTGTCAGCAGAAGGGACTTTGTACTCCATAACATATGTTGCCCAATGGGCTTGCATGCCCACTGCCAAGTCCAGCTCCACCTCCAGGCCCTTGCCCTACTCTTCCTTGGCCTTTGGAAAATCCAGTCCTTCATGCCATGTATAAATGCCCTTCTCCAGGAAGTCCCCCAAACCTGCTTCCCCTTCTCAGCCTGGCTTCTGGTCCAGCCTGTGGTTTCACCCACCATCCATGTTTGCTTCTGGTAGGGGAGCCTCAGCACCTCTGCCGCCCTCCAGGACCTCCTCCCTCACCTGGTCGAAGCAGTATGGTGTGTTCTGGAAGTCCACATGCAGCAGGTTGCCCAGCCCGGGCAGTGGCAGGGGGCCTGGTGAGTAGCGTGCAGCCCAGCGTTGGCGCCGGTGCATCAGGTCCACCAGGAGCAGGAAGATGGCCACTATCACGGCCAGGGGCACCAGTGCTTCTAGCCCCATACCTGCCTCACTACCAAATGGGCTCCTCTGGACACACCTGGCACCCCCACCCCACCAGGCACAGAGGACCAGGCAGGACACTCTCAGCACACCGAGCGCGTGACCCTTCCCTTATAAAGGGAGCTGATGATGGCCTTTGCCCTCTGCTGTGAGTGAACCTGCTGTGTTGACTGTGCTGCCAGTGGCAGAGTCAGGCCAGGGCGGGTATGGGCTGCTCCAGAGGTTCTTGCCCCTGCTTCCTGCTCCAGGCCCTTACCCAGGGTAGGCCGGTGGAGGGGCCTGGTCGGAGAAGTCACCCCCTCTCCCCACTCCAAGCTCCTGAAGCCTGCAAAGCCTTCTGGGATAACCAGGGTTTCAGTGGACCCGGCCATCCACCTCCCAGCTAGGCTCATACACCCTAATGTAGTCACAACCCCTCCTCCAGAACATGGCCTTGCCCTTTCCCTACCCCCACCTGCCCACTCCAGAGTGACCTTCAGCACCCTTATCTGTCACTGGCACTTACCTGGGGCCTTAGAGCTCCTGATGATGAGTGGCATCATGGGCCTGGTCCCTTCACTTCACCTTGCACTCTTGACATGCACAGACGCTATGCACACACCTGATGGTGCACAGATCTCTTGTCCACTCCCAGACACTTGTCCACTTGTTCACACTTGCAGGGACACGATTACACACGCAGAAAATCACCCACACAAAGACAATATTCACACATACACAGACTCACACTGACACTTAGGGCACACATTCTCTCTCACACACACCAGTCACACACACATACAGACCCGGCACCAAGTACCCCACTTCCCAGCCATGCCGGAGGTTTCCTGGATGGGACCACTCCTGTCCAGAGGCTGCTCCCAGCCCAGCCCACATTCCTGGGCTCTGGCCGGGCTATGGCTTCTTGTTTGCAACAGGGCTGTTCCCAGAGCTCCCAGTTGGTAGCCGGAAGGCCCTTGCCCCAGCCTGTGACAACATCCTCCCGGGCTGCCTGAGGGTTGTCCTCCTCCACTGCTTTCTGGCCTCCATGTTTCTGATTAGAAATCTGGTGGGAACGTTATGGAGGATCCTTTGTTCAGGATATGTTGCTTTATTTTTTTTTTCTTTAGACAGGGTCTCACTCTGTTGCCCAGGCCGGAGTGCAGTGGCAGGATCATGGCTCACTGCAGTCTCGACATCAAGTGGACCCCCTGCCTCCCAAGTAGCTGGGACTACAGGCACCACCCAGCCTAATCCTTTTTTTTTTTTTTTTTTTTTTTTGGAGACGGAGATTTCCTCTTGTTGCCCAGGCTGGTGGCTCCCCTCCATTGTGCAATGATGCAATCTCGGCTCACTACAACCTTCACCTCTAGGCTTCAAGCAATTCTCCTGCCTCAGCCTCCTAAGTAGCTGGGATTACAGGTGTGTGCCACCACGTCTAGCTTTTTATATTTTCAGTAGAGATAGGGTTTCACCATGTTGGCCAGGCTAGTCTTGAACTCCTGACTTCAGGTGATCCACCCACCTCAGGCTCCCAAAGTGCTGGGATTATAGGCATGAGCCACCGCACCCAATCCCAGCTAATTTTGTATTTTTTGTAGAGACCGGGTTCTTCCAAGTTGTCCAGGCTGGTCTTGAATTCCTGGGGTGAAGCGATCCTCCCACCTGGGCCTCCCAAAGTGCTGGGATTACAGGCCTGAGCCACTGTGACTACCTGATACGTCTCTTCTCTCTTGCTGCTTTCAAAATCCTGTCTTTTGTGGGAGGGCAGCTGCCGAGCTCTGGACTTCTACGGGATCATCCACTGAGGACAGGAGGACCGGGCCCTCTACAGGTGGATTGTATGGCAGCTGCCATGCTTGGAGCCAGTGCTCACCGAGCACGTGGCGGCTGTGGAGCTGGACGCGGGGTTGATAAGTCCGCTGGGGGTGACGGGCTCATCCATGAGTGGTACTTGATGTGGCTGCAGAAGGCGGATGTGGTGGTGGCAGAAGTGACACAACTGTCCCTGGGTATAGGCTATGATCTGTGCCAGGCCACAGCCCTCAATAAGTGAATCCTGTGCCTGCTCCAGCAGCAGTCCGGTGGAGTGCTGTCGGCCATGATCTGGGAAGAGGCAGATGGCTCTGGGTTCCAGGTGTGGGACTACGGAGAGGGACAGGTGGAGGCCCTGCTGCATGGATAGGTTGAGGCTGATCCTTCCGAGCAGGTTGCCTCCCCTAACCCAACCATTGGACCTAATCCCATTTTATTAAATTCTTCTCATCCCAGACACTGCTCTAGTACCAGTCCTGGCTCTTTGCCCCAGGAGCAAATTAAAAGGTACATTTAAAATTCTAAAAAAAGAAAAATCTGTCTTTTGACAGTGATTATGATGATGCGTATGGCTGAAGATCTCTTTGAGTTTACCCTACTTGGAGTTTGATGAGCTTTTTGGATGTACGGATTAATATTTTTCATCAGATTTGGGAGGTTTTTCAGCCATTAATTCTTCAACTATTCCTTTACTCCTTTCTCCCTGTCTTCTTTCCTGGGACTCCCATTGTGTGTATGTCGGAAAGCTTGACGGCGTCTCCAGGTCTCTGGATCTCTGTGCATTGCTCTTCATGCTTGTTCCTGTTCCTCAGAGGGGACTACCTCAGGTGGCCTCTCTCCATAGTCACAGGCTCTTTCTTCCAATTGTTCCAATCTGCTCTTGGGCCCCTGGGATGAATTTTCATTTATTTTACCCTACAACTCCAGAATTTTTATTTGGTTCCTTTTTAAACTTTTTTTTTGTTTTTTGTTTTGTTTTGTTTTTTGGAGTATCGCTCTGTCACCCAGGCTGTAGTGCAGTGGTGCAATCTCGGCTCACTGCAATCTCTGCCTCTCGGGTTCAAGCGATTCTCCTGCCTCAGCCTCCCGAGTAGCTGGGATTACAGGCACGTGCCACCACGCCCGGCTAATTTTTGTATTTTAAGTAGAGACGGGGTTTCACCATGTTGGCCAGGCTGGTCTCAATCTCTTGACCTCATGATATGCCCGCCTCAGCCTCCCAAAGTGCTGGGATTATAGGCATGAGCCACCATGCCCAGCCCCTTTTTATAAGGTTCATCCCATTATTGATATTCTCTAATTGGTGAGACATTGTTCCCACACTTTCGTTAGTTCTTTTGACATGGTTCTTTTCTTTTTCTTGGGAGAGGGTCTCTCTGTCGCCCAAGCTGGAGTGCAGTGATGCAGTCATGGCTCACTGCAGCCTCAACTTCCTGGGCTGAAGTGATCCTCCTACCTCAGCATCCTGAGAGGCTGGGACCATAGGCAGCCAGCTAATTTTTTAAATTTTTTGTAGAGATGGGGGTCTCACCACATTTCCCAAGCTGCTCTCAAACTCCTGGGCTCAAGCAATCCACGGGCCTCAGCTTCCCAGAGTGCTAGGATTATAGGTGTGAGCCACTGCACCAGGCCTACACGTGGTTTCTCCCTTTGAAGTACTAGCCAGGCCTGACCATGCTTAGCTTCCGAGATCAGCAGGTTCCAGCCGGTGCAGCCTCAGATGCAGCATGTTTTAGGTCTTTGAACATATTTAAATGAGCTGACTGAACGTCTTTGTCTAGCAATTGCAGCATCGGGCTGGTCCCATTGGTGACTTTTCCCGTGTCTGGGTCGTCCTTTCGGTTTCCTTTCCATGTCTCATAATTTGTTAAAACCTGGACATTTCACGGGCGATAATGTGGCAACTCCGGAAGTCAGATTCTCTTCCCTGCCAAGGATGTGTTGTTGTTGTTGCCTGTTGGAGCTGTTTCTTTGCTGGGTGACTTTTCTGAACTAATTCTGACTAAGCATTAATGTCTCCATTCCCTGCGAGCTGTGGCCACTGAAGCCGCTCTTCAGTTACGGCAGTGGTCAGCTAATGACTGGTCAGAGAGTTCCTTAGGTGCCTGGAAGCGAAGTCTTTGCCGAGTGGGTCTCTCTCTGTGTGCCGGGCGTGGCTTCAGTGCTCGGCTAGGCAGTGCTCAACTTTCCCTTAGCCGTCACCTGCTGTCTGCACAGCACCTCAGGTCAGTCACGGGTGAGGGCTCAGGGCCTTGCCGGCCTTCCTGAATATGGGCACAGCTGCAGACAGCCTTACCCACGTGCAGGGCACCTAGATTCCCAAGAAGGGGCAAGAGCTGTTCAAAACCACTACAAGCTGGACATGGTGGCTCACACCTGTAGTGTCAGTGACTCAGAAGGCTGTAATGGGAGGATGACTTGAGGCCAGGAGTTTGAGACCTAGCAAGACCCCATCCCCCACCCAAAAAAACAAAAACAACAACAAAAACTCACTGTGGACCGCTCATGCCCCAGCTGCTGCTTTTTAACCCCAGCTGTTATCCATCACCACAGGCAGCTTCGATTTTCAATCATGGATCTGATGACTTTCAACAAACTTTCCTGAGGAAAGTGCTGTTCCCACCAGAAGAGATCTCAGGACAAATGTAGACAGCCCTGGCAAGTGGGGTCTCCCTGGGAGCTAGCAGACAGGTGAAAGACTGACAGTTCTTGGGGAATTAGGCTTTTCTTTTGTTTTGGAGATGGCGTTTCATACTTATCACCCAGACTGGAGTGCAATGGTGTGATCTCGGCTCACTGCAACCTCTGCCTCCCAGGTTCAAGCAATTCTCCTGCCTCAGCCTCCTGAGTAGCTGGGATTACAGGCACCCACCACCACGCCCAGCTAATTTTTTGTATTTTTAGTAGAGACGGGGTTTCACCATGTTGGCCAGGCTGGTCTCGAACATCTGACCTCAGGTGATCCACCCATCTCGGCCTCCCAAAGTGCTGGGATTACAGGCGTGAGCCACCCTGCCCAGCCCAATTATAGATTTTTTAGGTTTAGGTGTTGACAGTAGCTCTCACCTCAGCCTGTTCTCTCTCCTTGTCATGCAGCCCACAGGGGAGATGGTCAGGCCAGTGTGGGGGCTAATGAATAAATGCTACACTGTGCCCACTCAGGTGGGTAAGGGCTGGCACTCCTCTTCCCCTGGAGTGGGGCGGCTGTGCTGGCACCCTTGGCAGACACAGTAAGGGGGACTGCACCTGGAAAGGATGGGCCAGTCGGGGCAGGACTACTCATCACTCATAGTGTGGGTGTCAGGGTTGTGTCACCCCTCCCACCTCCCTCTGCAGAGACGCAAAGTCAAGAGTAGGAAGAAGCCAACCTCTGAGGTAAGGCTTCCCCTGGAAGGCCCAGGGCTGGGGCTCTCTCCTTTCAGAGCTCAGTTAGACCCAGACACACGGCAGGGAGTCCCAAGGGTAGTGGCAGGCCCCCTCCAGGAAACTCACAAGGTTACCACAGCTCAACTGAAAAGGAAGAACTTCCCAGGACTGTGACACCCCAGTGTGAGAACAGGAGGATGAGGTGCTCTGAAGGCCTTTCTGCCCAGTCTGCCCTCTTATTCCTCCTGCAGGTCACGACCCCCAGGAGACCTGGAGGACTGAATGCTGCTGCCCCCAAGGAGGAGGCTGCCGTCTTATCCCAGGAGGGAGAGCAGGTGAAGTCCCCAGGGGAGGAAGCACCTAGCCCCATTCCTGCTGAGCAGGAGGTGGCAGGTACCCCAGACTGGGAGGTAAGGACAGCCCGGGGCTTCGACTGAACGTCTCCAGCGTGGGTCCAACTGAGCAGCCATGGAGCACTGCAGAGTGGGAGGCAGCAGGGCAGGGAGGCAGTGCTGGAGGCTGGCTCAACCCCAAGACCAGCAGGCCAAGCTGCCATCCCAGGGGAGCGAGGACGTCTGTGCAGAGCTGAGAGGCAGCAGCCATGTGTGAACAGACTGGGCCTCATCCTGGCCCCACCGACTTTGTGTGGACAGAGCCTGTTTCCCTGTCTGTGCAACACAGAACCTGCCTGATCTCACTGCTGGATCCCTCTTCTTCCTGCCAGGAAAATAAAAAGGTTCAAAAGGAAGTTGCTGCGTATCCATCTGGTAAGACCATTGACCCAGCGTGCTGCAGGGGGCTGCTTCCACCCTGCTTCTCAGTGACTGCCAGGGTCACAGACACCCCAGCCCTTTCCCACCTTCCTGACCTGGGGAGGGGAGGGGAGGGAAGCAGCCCAGGAGTCAGGTGCCTTGACCTTCCTGGGAGCCTCCTTGGGTGGGCAGGAACTCTGGGCCACTCCCCTGAGCTGGCTGCATCCCTACCTTTCACCACAGCTGACCTGGCCCCGGGGCATCTCAGAGGGAGGGTTGGTTGCTCCCAGGAGGGGACTCACAAGGCTGCCTGTTTCTACTTTGCAGAGGCCTCTGAGGACAGCAAAGAGCAAAGGCCCTGGGACCGGGTCTACGTGCCCATGACAGAGCTCTGGCTGGACTGGTTCTGAGCCTCTAACACCCCCAAGACTCAGAACCGTGAAGAAAATCTTTCCAATAAATCCAAGAGTTGCTGCTGCTATAGGCCAGGCTGCCACCTTTCGGGGCCTCCGTCTTCAGACAAACCCAGCCTGGCTTCATCCACACTCCCTGTCCCCACAGCTGCAGGAACAGCACTTCCTGCCACCGAGCCGTGTGACCACAGTGGATTGTCTCTGGAGGGGCCCAAGGGGGCCCTGGCCACCCTTCTGACTGACTCGGTGCCAGGGGACAGACCAACGTCCCTCTCGTGCTGACAGCCGGGCCGCACCCTGGCATGAGGGCATTTACAGAAATGCTGGCGGAACTGCTGCCAGGGAGGCTGTAGGGTCCTCTGGCAAAAGAGGCCTCAGGTGGCTCCTCAGAGTGTCTGTGGTTCTCTGTCCCAGGCTGTTCCCTAAGAAGGTCTGCCCAGGACTCAGGTAATCATATGCTCATTAGAAACTCTTGGGCACTGCCTGTGTGCCCAGCCCAGCCCATTATGTCGGTGAGGACAGATGTGGAGGACAGCAGTCCCTGCCCTTGGTTGGGGCTCCAGGCCAGCAAGGGCCACAGCCCCAGAAGGCAGAGCAGGAAGACAGGACTCGGGGCAGGTGAAGCAGCCTTCTCGTTGGCAGAAGGGAAACAGAAGCCCGGGGTGGGGAAGGGTGGGGAAGGGTGGGGAAGGGTGGGCCCGGGGTCACACGGGGTAATGGCAGAGCAAGGACTAGGGTCAGGGTCTCTGGCTCTCAGCTGCCCATGCCACCTCCTCCTTCTCTGCCCGCCCCAGTGCCTTATGGGTCCAAGGTTGACTCCTGTCCCTAGGGCAGGCCTGTGGGCCCTGCCTGATCCCTACTGGGAGGATGGTACCTAGGGTTGGAGCCAAACAAGTGTCCTCCTCCAGCGCCAGCCTGGCCCTGAGTGCGAACTCGTCACTGGTCAGGGGTCCAGACAGCAGCATCCCTGAGGGCCCAGAGAGGTGGCCAGTCCTGTGGTGAGGTTGAGAGGTGTCAACGTGCTGGCGGTCCTCGCTCGCTCTCAGCGCCTCCTCGGCCTCAGCTTCTGCTCTGACCACACTTGAGGAGCCCTTCAGCCCAGCGCTGCACTGTGGGAGCCCCTCTCTGGACTGGTGGAGGCTGGAGCCGGCTCCGTCTGCTTGCGGGGAGGTATGGAGGGAGAGGCGTGTGCGGGAACCTGGGTTGCTCGCGGGCCAGCACCAGTTCTGGGTGGGCAGGGGCTCAGCGGGCCCTGCACTCGGAGCGGCCGGCTGGTGCCTCTGGCCCCAGGCAGTGAGGGGCTTAGCACCTGGGCCAGCAGCTGCAGAGGGGGCACCGGGTCCCCCAGTACTGCTGGCCTGCCGGCGCTCACCACACTTGAATTGTCGCCAGGCCTCAGTCACCTCCCCGCGGGGCAGGGCTCAGGACTTGCAGCCTGCCATGCCCAAGCCTCCCTACGGTGGGCTCCCTGCGAGGCCCAAGCCTCCCGGATGGGTGCCTCCCACTGCTCCACGGCACCTGGTCCCGTCCACTGCCCAAGGGCTGAGGAGTACAGGTGCCTGGTGTGGGACTAGCAGGCAGCTCTGCCTGTGGCCCTGGCATAGGATCCACTAGGCGAAGCTGGCTGGGCTCCTGAGTCAGGTGGGGACTTGGAGAACTTTTATGTCTAGCCAGAGAATTGTATATGCACCAATCAGCACTCTGTGTCTAGCTCCGGGTTCGTGCATGCACCAATTAGCACTCTGTATCTAGCTAATCTGGTGGGGACTTGGGGAACCTTTATTTCTAGCTAAAAGATTGTAAATACACCAATCAGCACTCTGTGTCTAGCTCAGGGTTTGTAAACACACCAGTCAGCACCCTGTGTCTAACTCAAGGTTTGTAAACGCACCAATCAGTGCTCTCTGTCTACTCTATCTAGCTAATCTAGTGGGGACTGGGACAACCTTTATGTCTAGCTAAGGGATTGTAAATACACCATTCAGCACTCTGTGTCTAGCTCAAGGTTTGTAAATATACCAATCAGTACTCTGTGTCTAGCTCAGGGATTGTAAATGCACCAATCAGCTCTCTGTAAGTGGACCAATCCACTGTCTGTAAAATGGGCCAATCAGCAGGATGTGGGTGGGGGTCAGATAAGGGAATAAAAGCAGGCTGCCTGAAGTAGCAGCGGCAACCTGGTTGCCATCATTCTTTTGCTGTTTGCAGTAAGTCTTGCTGCTGCTGCTCCCTCATTGGGTCCACACTGCCTTTATGAGTTGTAACACTGGAAGGACTGCAGTTTCACTCCTGAGGCCAGTGAGACCACAAACCCACCAGGAAGAATGAACAACTCCGTACGTGCAGCCTTAAGAGCCGTAACACTCACTGTGAAGGTCTGCAGCTTCACTCCTGAAGCCAGCAAGACCACGCACCCACCAGAAGGAAGAAACTCTGAACACGTCTTAACATCAGAAGGAACAAACTCTGAACACACCATCTTTAAGAACTGTAACACTCACCGTGAGGGTCCACAGCTTCATTCTTGAAGTCAGTGAGACCAAGAACCCACCAATTTTGGACACAAGGTGACAGGCTGAGGGCGGTGGCTCGGTCCTGGGTTTTCCTGGGGCCTTCCCAGGGAATGTTCTGGCACCTGCCGACTGAGCCCTGGGAGGTAGCCCTGGCATATAGCTCCCTGACATGATTTGTCTTCCATTTTGGGGTGTCATATATGAAGGGAGGTGACTGTTGTGATGGTGCTGGCAGGACTGCTGTCCCTGATGTGGGGTGGGCTGAGTTAGGCCTGAAATATGGGCCTCCAGGCTGAGTCCTGCCCTCTCCACCACATCCAGGGCTGACTGACACCTCTAGTCAGCCCATTCTGGCCCCTTCCCCACATGCCAGGACAATGTAGTCCTTGTCACCAATCTGGGCAGTCAGAGTTGGGTCAGTGGGGGACACGGGATTATGGGCAAGGGTAACTGACATCTGCTCAGCCTCAACGTACCCGTCTCAAATGCGGCCAGGCGGTGGGGTAAGCAGGAATGAGGCAGGGGTGGGGTTGCCCTGAGGAGGATGATCCCAACGAGGGCGTGAGCAGGGGACCCGAGTTGGAACTACCACATTGCTTTATTGTACATTAGAGCCTCTGGCTAGGGAGCAGGCTGGGGACTAGGTACCCCATTCTAGCGGGGCACAGCACAAAGCTCATAGGGGGATGGGGTCACCAGAAAGCTGACGACACGAGAGTGGCTGGGCCGGGGCTGTCCGGCGGCCACGGAGAAGCTGAAGTGCTGCAGCAGGGAGGTGAAGAAGAGGAAGAGCTCCATGCGGGCCAGGGGCTCCCCGAGGCATGCACGGCGGCCTGTGGGGAGGGGAGGGGCGTCAGTGAGCCTGGCTCCTGGGTGATACCCCTGCAAGACTCCACGGAAGGGGACAGGGAGCCGGGCTCCCCACAGGCACCTGCTGAGAAAGGCAGGAAGGCCTCCGGCTTCACAAAGTGGCCCTGGGCATCCAGGAAGTGTTCGGGGTGGAAGCGGAAGGGCTTCTCCCAGACGGCCTCATCCTTCAGCACCGATGACAGGTTGGTGATGAGTGTCGTTCCCTGGGCAGGAGATGCAGGGTGAGAGTGGGGACTGGACTCTAGGATGCTGGGACCCCTGCCACCAAACACACGGGGGACACACACTGCCTGGCACACAGCTGGACTCTGTCAACTAGTCCTGCGCCCGAGAAGCTCCACAGTACCCTCTCCGACCCCACAGCAGGGCGCAGTCACACCTCTCAGAGGCACCCACACTGCCCCCTCTCCCTGCAGGCGCTGGGTCCTCCAACATTCTGGCAGGTCCTGGTTTGTCTCCCCACTAGACGGGGGCTCTGGATGGACAGGCCAGCCCTGCCTATACTCTGGACCCCCCACCCAAGTGGGGACAGTCAGTGTGGTGGCATTGAGGACTAGGTGGCCAGGGTTCCTAGAGTGGGCCCACCTGGCAGTAGCCATGCTGGGGCTATCACCAGGGGCTGGTGCTGAGCTGGGGTGAGGAGGGCGCCAGGCCTACCTTAGGGATGCGGAAGCCCTGTACTTCGATGTCACGGGATGTCATATGGGTCACACCCAGGGGGACGATGTCCCCAAAGCGCTGCACCTCATGAATCACGGCAGTGGTGTAGGGCATGTGAGCCTGGTCACCCATCTCTGGTCGCCGCACCTGCCCTATCACGTCGTCGATCTCCTGTTGGACACGGCCTGGACAGACATGCGTCCCCACAATGGGTCAGCACCCAGGGGGTCCGGCCCTGACACTCCTTCTTGCCTCCTATGTTGGAGGAGGTCAGGCTTACAGGATCCTGGTCAAGCCTGTGCTTGGAGCCCCGGGTGTCCCAGCAAAGTTCATGGGCCCCCGCCTGTACCCTTCCTCCCTCGGCCCCTGCACTGTTTCCCAGATGGGCTCACGCTGCACATCCGGATGTAGGATCATGAGCAGGAGGCCCCAGGCCAGCGTGGTCGAGGTGGTCACCATCCCGGCAGAGAACAGGTCAGCCACCACTATGCGCAGGTTCTCATCATTGAAGCTGCTCTCAGGGTTCCCCTTGGCCTGAGCAGGGCCGAGAGCATACTCGGGACAGAACGGGGTAGCCCCCAAATGACCTCCAATTCTGCACCTGTCAGCCCAGATGCGGCTCGCCGGGTGATGCACTGGTCCAACCTTTTGCCCAGCCTCCCCTCATTCCTCCTGGGACGCTCAACCCACCACCCTTGCCCCCCACCGTGGCAGCCACTCTCACCTTCTCCATCTCTGCCAGGAAGGCCTCAGTCAGGTCTCGGGGGGGCTGGGCTGGGTCCCAGGTCATCCTGTGCTCAGTTAGCAGCTCATCCAGCTGGGTCAGGAAAGCCTTTTGGAAGCGTAGGACCTTGCCAGCCAGCGCTGGGATATGCAGGAGGACGGGGACAGCATTCAGCACCTACACCAGACAGAACGGGGTCTCAATCCCTCCTGTGCTCTGCGTTCACCTGGACAAGTCTCAGGCCCCAGCCATCTCCAGGTAGACCCAGGGCCTGCCTGTCCTTACCACTGACCTCACCAAGTCCCTCCCCAAGTGCCAGCCTCCACCCTCTCTCCTTGCCCAGAGGAGAAACCTAAAATCGAAATCTCTGACGTGGATAGGAGGTACAGAGTCCTTGGCCTCTCCTGGTGCCCCCTGACCCGGGCACACCTCTCCCACGACCATGTCTGAGATGTCCCCTCCTCCTCCAGGCCCTTCTTACAGTGGGGTCTCCTGGAATGTCCTTTCCCAAACCCATCTACGCAAATCCTGCTCTTCCGAGGCCCCAGTCCAGCCCCGGCACCTCTCGGGAGCTCGCCCTGCAGAGACTCCTCGGTCTCTCGCTCCGCACCTCGCGCAGAAAGCCCGACTCCTCCTTCAGTCCCTCCTGAGCTAGGTCCAGCAGCCTGAGGAAGCGAGGGTCGTCGTACTCGAAGCGGCGCCCGCAGGTGAGGGAGGCGATCACGTTGCTCACGGCTTTGTCCAAGAGACCGTTGGGGCGAAAGGGGCGTCCTGGGGGTGGGAGATGCGGGTAAGGGGTCGCCTTCCCCGTCCCCCGCCTTCCCAGTTCCCGCTTTGTGCCCTTCTGCCCATCACCCACCGGAGTGGTTGGCGAAGGCGGCACAAAGGCAGGCGGCCTCCTCGGTCACCCACTGCTCCAGCGACTTCTTGCCCAGGCCCAAGTTGCGCAAGGTGGAGACGGAGAAGCGCCTCTGCTCGCGCCACGCGGGCCCATAGCGCGCCAGGAACACCCCTGGGGGTGGGACGGGCACGTGCGCGTGGCCATGAAGGCATTAGCCCCACCATCCACCACCCACTCCAACCCTATGCTCCCCCTGGTCTCCCGCAGTCCCTGGCTCTGTCCAGCTGGTCACAGGGCCCACTCTTTGTGCATCCACCTTGCTCCCTTGGCTGGGGCAGGGCTTTGCCCCACCTCGTCTCTGCCCACCCTGACCGCCTTTGCACTCAGGGAAGACCCCGCGGGCCCCGCGCCACCCACACTGAGCTTACAGCACAGGTGCGGTCCCCGCCCCCCACTTCGACACCGGATTCCAGCTGGGAAATGCGCCAGCCTCACCCATTGGGCTCCTGCCAGGTCTCGGCAGTGGCCCCGCCCACTCGTCACAAGCCCCGCCCTCGTCCCCATGCTCACACCTCCCTAGTGCAGGTGGTTTCTTGGCCCGCTGTCCCCACTCGCTGGCCTGTTTCATGTCCACGACCCCGCGCCCTCTCTGCCCAGCTCGGACTACGGTCATCACCCACCCGGGTCCCACGGAAATCTGTCTCTGTCCCCACCGCTGCTTGCCTTGGGAACGCGGCCCAAAACCCAGGATCTGGGTGATGGGCACAGGCGGGCGGTCGGCGGTGTCCTCGCCGTGGGTCACCAGCGCCTCGCGCACGGCCGCCAGCCCATTGAGCACGACCACCGGCGTCCAGGCCAGCTGCAGGCTGAACACGTCCCCGAAGCGGCGCCGCAACTGCAGAGGGAGGGTCAGGGCCTCTTGTCAAGCCAGGATCCCCCCAGACTACAGGTCCTAGTCCTATTTGAACCTTGGACGACCCCCGGGGCTACCAGGAGTGAGCAGGTGGAAGGAGGAGACCCAGCCTCCTGATCGTGGGGCGGGGGTGGGGGTCACACCTTCTGTGATGGAGGAACTCAGTTTGGATGCGTCACCCAGGTATGACCTTGCAAGAGTCACCAAAATTGCCGAGAGGCCCCAGTTAGCATCCCATTCCCAGATGATGGTCCATGCCGGTGAGCAGTGAGGCCCGAGGACCCACAGTGCAAAAGGTTTGAACCGGGTCACTGCACCCCCTTCATCCTCGATTTCGTGATTTAAACGGCACTCAGGACTAACTCATCTTCCATTCCCAAGGCCTTTCCTTCTGGTGTCAGCAGAAGGGACTTTGTACTCCATAACATATGTTGCCCAATGGGCTTGCATGCCCACTGCCAAGTCCAGCTCCACCTCCAGGCCCTTGCCCTACTCTTCCTTGGCCTTTGGAAAATCCAGTCCTTCATGCCATGTATAAATGCCCTTCTCCAGGAAGTCCCCCAAACCTGCTTCCCCTTCTCAGCCTGGCTTCTGGTCCAGCCTGTGGTTTCACCCACCATCCATGTTTGCTTCTGGTAGGGGAGCCTCAGCACCTCTGCCGCCCTCCAGGACCTCCTCCCTCACCTGGTCGAAGCAGTATGGTGTGTTCTGGAAGTCCACATGCAGCAGGTTGCCCAGCCCGGGCAGTGGCAGGGGGCCTGGTGAGTAGCGTGCAGCCCAGCGTTGGCGCCGGTGCATCAGGTCCACCAGGAGCAGGAAGATGGCCACTATCACGGCCAGGGGCACCAGTGCTTCTAGCCCCATACCTGCCTCACTACCAAATGGGCTCCTCTGGACACACCTGGCACCCCCACCCCACCAGGCACAGAGGACCAGGCAGGACACTCTCAGCACACCGAGCGCGTGACCCTTCCCTTATAAAGGGAGCTGATGATGGCCTTTGCCCTCTGCTGTGAGTGAACCTGCTGTGTTGACTGTGCTGCCAGTGGCAGAGTCAGGCCAGGGCGGGTATGGGCTGCTCCAGAGGTTCTTGCCCCTGCTTCCTGCTCCAGGCCCTTACCCAGGGTAGGCCGGTGGAGGGGCCTGGTCGGAGAAGTCACCCCCTCTCCCCACTCCAAGCTCCTGAAGCCTGCAAAGCCTTCTGGGATAACCAGGGTTTCAGTGGACCCGGCCATCCACCTCCCAGCTAGGCTCATACACCCTAATGTAGTCACAACCCCTCCTCCAGAACATGGCCTTGCCCTTTCCCTACCCCCACCTGCCCACTCCAGAGTGACCTTCAGCACCCTTATCTGTCACTGGCACTTACCTGGGGCCTTAGAGCTCCTGATGATGAGTGGCATCATGGGCCTGGTCCCTTCACTTCACCTTGCACTCTTGACATGCACAGACGCTATGCACACACCTGATGGTGCACAGATCTCTTGTCCACTCCCAGACACTTGTCCACTTGTTCACACTTGCAGGGACACGATTACACACGCAGAAAATCACCCACACAAAGACAATATTCACACATACACAGACTCACACTGACACTTAGGGCACACATTCTCTCTCACACACACCAGTCACACACACATACAGACCCGGCACCAAGTACCCCACTTCCCAGCCATGCCGGAGGTTTCCTGGATGGGACCACTCCTGTCCAGAGGCTGCTCCCAGCCCAGCCCACATTCCTGGGCTCTGGCCGGGCTATGGCTTCTTGTTTGCAACAGGGCTGTTCCCAGAGCTCCCAGTTGGTAGCCGGAAGGCCCTTGCCCCAGCCTGTGACAACATCCTCCCGGGCTGCCTGAGGGTTGTCCTCCTCCACTGCTTTCTGGCCTCCATGTTTCTGATTAGAAATCTGGTGGGAACGTTATGGAGGATCCTTTGTTCAGGATATGTTGCTTTATTTTTTTTTTCTTTAGACAGGGTCTCACTCTGTTGCCCAGGCCGGAGTGCAGTGGCAGGATCATGGCTCACTGCAGTCTCGACATCAAGTGGACCCCCTGCCTCCCAAGTAGCTGGGACTACAGGCACCACCCAGCCTAATCCTTTTTTTTTTTTTTTTTTTTTTTTGGAGACGGAGATTTCCTCTTGTTGCCCAGGCTGGTGGCTCCCCTCCATTGTGCAATGATGCAATCTCGGCTCACTACAACCTTCACCTCTAGGCTTCAAGCAATTCTCCTGCCTCAGCCTCCTAAGTAGCTGGGATTACAGGTGTGTGCCACCACGTCTAGCTTTTTATATTTTCAGTAGAGATAGGGTTTCACCATGTTGGCCAGGCTAGTCTTGAACTCCTGACTTCAGGTGATCCACCCACCTCAGGCTCCCAAAGTGCTGGGATTATAGGCATGAGCCACCGCACCCAATCCCAGCTAATTTTGTATTTTTTGTAGAGACCGGGTTCTTCCAAGTTGTCCAGGCTGGTCTTGAATTCCTGGGGTGAAGCGATCCTCCCACCTGGGCCTCCCAAAGTGCTGGGATTACAGGCCTGAGCCACTGTGACTACCTGATACGTCTCTTCTCTCTTGCTGCTTTCAAAATCCTGTCTTTTGTGGGAGGGCAGCTGCCGAGCTCTGGACTTCTACGGGATCATCCACTGAGGACAGGAGGACCGGGCCCTCTACAGGTGGATTGTATGGCAGCTGCCATGCTTGGAGCCAGTGCTCACCGAGCACGTGGCGGCTGTGGAGCTGGACGCGGGGTTGATAAGTCCGCTGGGGGTGACGGGCTCATCCATGAGTGGTACTTGATGTGGCTGCAGAAGGCGGATGTGGTGGTGGCAGAAGTGACACAACTGTCCCTGGGTATAGGCTATGATCTGTGCCAGGCCACAGCCCTCAATAAGTGAATCCTGTGCCTGCTCCAGCAGCAGTCCGGTGGAGTGCTGTCGGCCATGATCTGGGAAGAGGCAGATGGCTCTGGGTTCCAGGTGTGGGACTACGGAGAGGGACAGGTGGAGGCCCTGCTGCATGGATAGGTTGAGGCTGATCCTTCCGAGCAGGTTGCCTCCCCTAACCCAACCATTGGACCTAATCCCATTTTATTAAATTCTTCTCATCCCAGACACTGCTCTAGTACCAGTCCTGGCTCTTTGCCCCAGGAGCAAATTAAAAGGTACATTTAAAATTCTAAAAAAAGAAAAATCTGTCTTTTGACAGTGATTATGATGATGCGTATGGCTGAAGATCTCTTTGAGTTTACCCTACTTGGAGTTTGATGAGCTTTTTGGATGTACGGATTAATATTTTTCATCAGATTTGGGAGGTTTTTCAGCCATTAATTCTTCAACTATTCCTTTACTCCTTTCTCCCTGTCTTCTTTCCTGGGACTCCCATTGTGTGTATGTCGGAAAGCTTGACGGCGTCTCCAGGTCTCTGGATCTCTGTGCATTGCTCTTCATGCTTGTTCCTGTTCCTCAGAGGGGACTACCTCAGGTGGCCTCTCTCCATAGTCACAGGCTCTTTCTTCCAATTGTTCCAATCTGCTCTTGGGCCCCTGGGATGAATTTTCATTTATTTTACCCTACAACTCCAGAATTTTTATTTGGTTCCTTTTTAAACTTTTTTTTTGTTTTTTGTTTTGTTTTGTTTTTTGGAGTATCGCTCTGTCACCCAGGCTGTAGTGCAGTGGTGCAATCTCGGCTCACTGCAATCTCTGCCTCTCGGGTTCAAGCGATTCTCCTGCCTCAGCCTCCCGAGTAGCTGGGATTACAGGCACGTGCCACCACGCCCGGCTAATTTTTGTATTTTAAGTAGAGACGGGGTTTCACCATGTTGGCCAGGCTGGTCTCAATCTCTTGACCTCATGATATGCCCGCCTCAGCCTCCCAAAGTGCTGGGATTATAGGCATGAGCCACCATGCCCAGCCCCTTTTTATAAGGTTCATCCCATTATTGATATTCTCTAATTGGTGAGACATTGTTCCCACACTTTCGTTAGTTCTTTTGACATGGTTCTTTTCTTTTTCTTGGGAGAGGGTCTCTCTGTCGCCCAAGCTGGAGTGCAGTGATGCAGTCATGGCTCACTGCAGCCTCAACTTCCTGGGCTGAAGTGATCCTCCTACCTCAGCATCCTGAGAGGCTGGGACCATAGGCAGCCAGCTAATTTTTTAAATTTTTTGTAGAGATGGGGGTCTCACCACATTTCCCAAGCTGCTCTCAAACTCCTGGGCTCAAGCAATCCACGGGCCTCAGCTTCCCAGAGTGCTAGGATTATAGGTGTGAGCCACTGCACCAGGCCTACACGTGGTTTCTCCCTTTGAAGTACTAGCCAGGCCTGACCATGCTTAGCTTCCGAGATCAGCAGGTTCCAGCCGGTGCAGCCTCAGATGCAGCATGTTTTAGGTCTTTGAACATATTTAAATGAGCTGACTGAACGTCTTTGTCTAGCAATTGCAGCATCGGGCTGGTCCCATTGGTGACTTTTCCCGTGTCTGGGTCGTCCTTTCGGTTTCCTTTCCATGTCTCATAATTTGTTAAAACCTGGACATTTCACGGGCGATAATGTGGCAACTCCGGAAGTCAGATTCTCTTCCCTGCCAAGGATGTGTTGTTGTTGTTGCCTGTTGGAGCTGTTTCTTTGCTGGGTGACTTTTCTGAACTAATTCTGACTAAGCATTAATGTCTCCATTCCCTGCGAGCTGTGGCCACTGAAGCCGCTCTTCAGTTACGGCAGTGGTCAGCTAATGACTGGTCAGAGAGTTCCTTAGGTGCCTGGAAGCGAAGTCTTTGCCGAGTGGGTCTCTCTCTGTGTGCCGGGCGTGGCTTCAGTGCTCGGCTAGGCAGTGCTCAACTTTCCCTTAGCCGTCACCTGCTGTCTGCACAGCACCTCAGGTCAGTCACGGGTGAGGGCTCAGGGCCTTGCCGGCCTTCCTGAATATGGGCACAGCTGCAGACAGCCTTACCCACGTGCAGGGCACCTAGATTCCCAAGAAGGGGCAAGAGCTGTTCAAAACCACTACAAGCTGGACATGGTGGCTCACACCTGTAGTGTCAGTGACTCAGAAGGCTGTAATGGGAGGATGACTTGAGGCCAGGAGTTTGAGACCTAGCAAGACCCCATCCCCCACCCAAAAAAACAAAAACAACAACAAAAACTCACTGTGGACCGCTCATGCCCCAGCTGCTGCTTTTTAACCCCAGCTGTTATCCATCACCACAGGCAGCTTCGATTTTCAATCATGGATCTGATGACTTTCAACAAACTTTCCTGAGGAAAGTGCTGTTCCCACCAGAAGAGATCTCAGGACAAATGTAGACAGCCCTGGCAAGTGGGGTCTCCCTGGGAGCTAGCAGACAGGTGAAAGACTGACAGTTCTTGGGGAATTAGGCTTTTCTTTTGTTTTGGAGATGGCGTTTCATACTTATCACCCAGACTGGAGTGCAATGGTGTGATCTCGGCTCACTGCAACCTCTGCCTCCCAGGTTCAAGCAATTCTCCTGCCTCAGCCTCCTGAGTAGCTGGGATTACAGGCACCCACCACCACGCCCAGCTAATTTTTTGTATTTTTAGTAGAGACGGGGTTTCACCATGTTGGCCAGGCTGGTCTCGAACATCTGACCTCAGGTGATCCACCCATCTCGGCCTCCCAAAGTGCTGGGATTACAGGCGTGAGCCACCCTGCCCAGCCCAATTATAGATTTTTTAGGTTTAGGTGTTGACAGTAGCTCTCACCTCAGCCTGTTCTCTCTCCTTGTCATGCAGCCCACAGGGGAGATGGTCAGGCCAGTGTGGGGGCTAATGAATAAATGCTACACTGTGCCCACTCAGGTGGGTAAGGGCTGGCACTCCTCTTCCCCTGGAGTGGGGCGGCTGTGCTGGCACCCTTGGCAGACACAGTAAGGGGGACTGCACCTGGAAAGGATGGGCCAGTCGGGGCAGGACTACTCATCACTCATAGTGTGGGTGTCAGGGTTGTGTCACCCCTCCCACCTCCCTCTGCAGAGACGCAAAGTCAAGAGTAGGAAGAAGCCAACCTCTGAGGTAAGGCTTCCCCTGGAAGGCCCAGGGCTGGGGCTCTCTCCTTTCAGAGCTCAGTTAGACCCAGACACACGGCAGGGAGTCCCAAGGGTAGTGGCAGGCCCCCTCCAGGAAACTCACAAGGTTACCACAGCTCAACTGAAAAGGAAGAACTTCCCAGGACTGTGACACCCCAGTGTGAGAACAGGAGGATGAGGTGCTCTGAAGGCCTTTCTGCCCAGTCTGCCCTCTTATTCCTCCTGCAGGTCACGACCCCCAGGAGACCTGGAGGACTGAATGCTGCTGCCCCCAAGGAGGAGGCTGCCGTCTTATCCCAGGAGGGAGAGCAGGTGAAGTCCCCAGGGGAGGAAGCACCTAGCCCCATTCCTGCTGAGCAGGAGGTGGCAGGTACCCCAGACTGGGAGGTAAGGACAGCCCGGGGCTTCGACTGAACGTCTCCAGCGTGGGTCCAACTGAGCAGCCATGGAGCACTGCAGAGTGGGAGGCAGCAGGGCAGGGAGGCAGTGCTGGAGGCTGGCTCAACCCCAAGACCAGCAGGCCAAGCTGCCATCCCAGGGGAGCGAGGACGTCTGTGCAGAGCTGAGAGGCAGCAGCCATGTGTGAACAGACTGGGCCTCATCCTGGCCCCACCGACTTTGTGTGGACAGAGCCTGTTTCCCTGTCTGTGCAACACAGAACCTGCCTGATCTCACTGCTGGATCCCTCTTCTTCCTGCCAGGAAAATAAAAAGGTTCAAAAGGAAGTTGCTGCGTATCCATCTGGTAAGACCATTGACCCAGCGTGCTGCAGGGGGCTGCTTCCACCCTGCTTCTCAGTGACTGCCAGGGTCACAGACACCCCAGCCCTTTCCCACCTTCCTGACCTGGGGAGGGGAGGGGAGGGAAGCAGCCCAGGAGTCAGGTGCCTTGACCTTCCTGGGAGCCTCCTTGGGTGGGCAGGAACTCTGGGCCACTCCCCTGAGCTGGCTGCATCCCTACCTTTCACCACAGCTGACCTGGCCCCGGGGCATCTCAGAGGGAGGGTTGGTTGCTCCCAGGAGGGGACTCACAAGGCTGCCTGTTTCTACTTTGCAGAGGCCTCTGAGGACAGCAAAGAGCAAAGGCCCTGGGACCGGGTCTACGTGCCCATGACAGAGCTCTGGCTGGACTGGTTCTGAGCCTCTAACACCCCCAAGACTCAGAACCGTGAAGAAAATCTTTCCAATAAATCCAAGAGTTGCTGCTGCTATAGGCCAGGCTGCCACCTTTCGGGGCCTCCGTCTTCAGACAAACCCAGCCTGGCTTCATCCACACTCCCTGTCCCCACAGCTGCAGGAACAGCACTTCCTGCCACCGAGCCGTGTGACCACAGTGGATTGTCTCTGGAGGGGCCCAAGGGGGCCCTGGCCACCCTTCTGACTGACTCGGTGCCAGGGGACAGACCAACGTCCCTCTCGTGCTGACAGCCGGGCCGCACCCTGGCATGAGGGCATTTACAGAAATGCTGGCGGAACTGCTGCCAGGGAGGCTGTAGGGTCCTCTGGCAAAAGAGGCCTCAGGTGGCTCCTCAGAGTGTCTGTGGTTCTCTGTCCCAGGCTGTTCCCTAAGAAGGTCTGCCCAGGACTCAGGTAATCATATGCTCATTAGAAACTCTTGGGCACTGCCTGTGTGCCCAGCCCAGCCCATTATGTCGGTGAGGACAGATGTGGAGGACAGCAGTCCCTGCCCTTGGTTGGGGCTCCAGGCCAGCAAGGGCCACAGCCCCAGAAGGCAGAGCAGGAAGACAGGACTCGGGGCAGGTGAAGCAGCCTTCTCGTTGGCAGAAGGGAAACAGAAGCCCGGGGTGGGGAAGGGTGGGGAAGGGTGGGGAAGGGTGGGCCCGGGGTCACACGGGGTAATGGCAGAGCAAGGACTAGGGTCAGGGTCTCTGGCTCTCAGCTGCCCATGCCACCTCCTCCTTCTCTGCCCGCCCCAGTGCCTTATGGGTCCAAGGTTGACTCCTGTCCCTAGGGCAGGCCTGTGGGCCCTGCCTGATCCCTACTGGGAGGATGGTACCTAGGGTTGGAGCCAAACAAGTGTCCTCCTCCAGCGCCAGCCTGGCCCTGAGTGCGAACTCGTCACTGGTCAGGGGTCCAGACAGCAGCATCCCTGAGGGCCCAGAGAGGTGGCCAGTCCTGTGGTGAGGTTGAGAGGTGTCAACGTGCTGGCGGTCCTCGCTCGCTCTCAGCGCCTCCTCGGCCTCAGCTTCTGCTCTGACCACACTTGAGGAGCCCTTCAGCCCAGCGCTGCACTGTGGGAGCCCCTCTCTGGACTGGTGGAGGCTGGAGCCGGCTCCGTCTGCTTGCGGGGAGGTATGGAGGGAGAGGCGTGTGCGGGAACCTGGGTTGCTCGCGGGCCAGCACCAGTTCTGGGTGGGCAGGGGCTCAGCGGGCCCTGCACTCGGAGCGGCCGGCTGGTGCCTCTGGCCCCAGGCAGTGAGGGGCTTAGCACCTGGGCCAGCAGCTGCAGAGGGGGCACCGGGTCCCCCAGTACTGCTGGCCTGCCGGCGCTCACCACACTTGAATTGTCGCCAGGCCTCAGTCACCTCCCCGCGGGGCAGGGCTCAGGACTTGCAGCCTGCCATGCCCAAGCCTCCCTACGGTGGGCTCCCTGCGAGGCCCAAGCCTCCCGGATGGGTGCCTCCCACTGCTCCACGGCACCTGGTCCCGTCCACTGCCCAAGGGCTGAGGAGTACAGGTGCCTGGTGTGGGACTAGCAGGCAGCTCTGCCTGTGGCCCTGGCATAGGATCCACTAGGCGAAGCTGGCTGGGCTCCTGAGTCAGGTGGGGACTTGGAGAACTTTTATGTCTAGCCAGAGGATTGTATATGCACCAATCAGCACTCTGTGTCTAGCTCCGGGTTCGTGCATGCACCAATTAGCACTCTGTATCTAGCTAATCTGGTGGGGACTTGGGGAACCTTTATTTCTAGCTAAAAGATTGTAAATACACCAATCAGCACTCTGTGTCTAGCTCAGGGTTTGTAAACACACCAGTCAGCACCCTGTGTCTAACTCAAGGTTTGTAAACGCACCAATCAGTGCTCTCTGTCTACTCTATCTAGCTAATCTAGTGGGGACTGGGACAACCTTTATGTCTAGCTAAGGGATTGTAAATACACCATTCAGCACTCTGTGTCTAGCTCAAGGTTTGTAAATATACCAATCAGTACTCTGTGTCTAGCTCAGGGATTGTAAATGCACCAATCAGCTCTCTGTAAGTGGACCAATCCACTGTCTGTAAAATGGGCCAATCAGCAGGATGTGGGTGGGGGTCAGATAAGGGAATAAAAGCAGGCTGCCTGAAGTAGCAGCGGCAACCTGGTTGCCATCATTCTTTTGCTGTTTGCAGTAAGTCTTGCTGCTGCTGCTCCCTCATTGGGTCCACACTGCCTTTATGAGTTGTAACACTGGAAGGACTGCAGTTTCACTCCTGAGGCCAGTGAGACCACAAACCCACCAGGAAGAATGAACAACTCCGTACGTGCAGCCTTAAGAGCCGTAACACTCACTGTGAAGGTCTGCAGCTTCACTCCTGAAGCCAGCAAGACCACGCACCCACCAGAAGGAAGAAACTCTGAACACGTCTTAACATCAGAAGGAACAAACTCTGAACACACCATCTTTAAGAACTGTAACACTCACCGTGAGGGTCCACAGCTTCATTCTTGAAGTCAGTGAGACCAAGAACCCACCAATTTTGGACACAAGGTGACAGGCTGAGGGCGGTGGCTCGGTCCTGGGTTTTCCTGGGGCCTTCCCAGGGAATGTTCTGGCACCTGCCGACTGAGCCCTGGGAGGTAGCCCTGGCATATAGCTCCCTGACATGATTTGTCTTCCATTTTGGGGTGTCATATATGAAGGGAGGTGACTGTTGTGATGGTGCTGGCAGGACTGCTGTCCCTGATGTGGGGTGGGCTGAGTTAGGCCTGAAATATGGGCCTCCAGGCTGAGTCCTGCCCTCTCCACCACATCCAGGGCTGACTGACACCTCTAGTCAGCCCATTCTGGCCCCTTCCCCACATGCCAGGACAATGTAGTCCTTGTCACCAATCTGGGCAGTCAGAGTTGGGTCAGTGGGGGACACGGGATTATGGGCAAGGGTAACTGACATCTGCTCAGCCTCAACGTACCCGTCTCAAATGCGGCCAGGCGGTGGGGTAAGCAGGAATGAGGCAGGGGTGGGGTTGCCCTGAGGAGGATGATCCCAACGAGGGCGTGAGCAGGGGACCCGAGTTGGAACTACCACATTGCTTTATTGTACATTAGAGCCTCTGGCTAGGGAGCAGGCTGGGGACTAGGTACCCCATTCTAGCGGGGCACAGCACAAAGCTCATAGGGGGATGGGGTCACCAGAAAGCTGACGACACGAGAGTGGCTGGGCCGGGGCTGTCCGGCGGCCACGGAGAAGCTGAAGTGCTGCAGCAGGGAGGTGAAGAAGAGGAAGAGCTCCATGCGGGCCAGGGGCTCCCCGAGGCATGCACGGCGGCCTGTGGGGAGGGGAGGGGCGTCAGTGAGCCTGGCTCCTGGGTGATACCCCTGCAAGACTCCACGGAAGGGGACAGGGAGCCGGGCTCCCCACAGGCACCTGCTGAGAAAGGCAGGAAGGCCTCCGGCTTCACAAAGTGGCCCTGGGCATCCAGGAAGTGTTCGGGGTGGAAGCGGAAGGGCTTCTCCCAGACGGCCTCATCCTTCAGCACCGATGACAGGTTGGTGATGAGTGTCGTTCCCTGGGCAGGAGATGCAGGGTGAGAGTGGGGACTGGACTCTAGGATGCTGGGACCCCTGCCACCAAACACACGGGGGACACACACTGCCTGGCACACAGCTGGACTCTGTCAACTAGTCCTGCGCCCGAGAAGCTCCACAGTACCCTCTCCGACCCCACAGCAGGGCGCAGTCACACCTCTCAGAGGCACCCACACTGCCCCCTCTCCCTGCAGGCGCTGGGTCCTCCAACATTCTGGCAGGTCCTGGTTTGTCTCCCCACTAGACGGGGGCTCTGGATGGACAGGCCAGCCCTGCCTATACTCTGGACCCCCCACCCAAGTGGGGACAGTCAGTGTGGTGGCATTGAGGACTAGGTGGCCAGGGTTCCTAGAGTGGGCCCACCTGGCAGTAGCCATGCTGGGGCTATCACCAGGGGCTGGTGCTGAGCTGGGGTGAGGAGGGCGCCAGGCCTACCTTAGGGATGCGGAAGCCCTGTACTTCGATGTCACGGGATGTCATATGGGTCACACCCAGGGGGACGATGTCCCCAAAGCGCTGCACCTCATGAATCACGGCAGTGGTGTAGGGCATGTGAGCCTGGTCACCCATCTCTGGTCGCCGCACCTGCCCTATCACGTCGTCGATCTCCTGTTGGACACGGACTGGACAGACATGCGTCCCCACAATGGGTCAGCACCCAGGGGACACTCTCCTTCCTCCTGTGTTGGAGGAAGTTAGGCTTACAGGAGCCTGGCCACGCCTGTGCTGGAAGCCCCGGGTGTCCCAGCTAAGCCCAGGGGCCCCCAGCTGTACCCTTCCTCCCTCAGTCCCTGCCTTGGGCCCCAGCTGGGCTCACGCTGCACATCCAGGTGTAGGATCATGAGCAGGAGGCCCCAGGCCAGCGTGGTCAAGGTGGTCACCATCCCGGCAAGGAACAGGTTACCCACCACTATGCGCAGGTTCTCATCATTGAAGCTGCTCTCAGGGCTCCCCTTGGCCTGAGCAGGGCCGAGAGGATACTCAGGGGATAGAACGGGGTAGCCCCCAAATGACCTCCAATTCTGCACCTGTCAGCCCAGATGCGGCTCGCCGGGTGATGCACTGGTCCAACCTTTTGCCCAGCCTCCCCTCATTCCTCCTGGGACGTTCAACCCACCACCCTTGCCCCCCACCGTGGCAGCCACTCTCACCTTCTCCTTCTTTGCCAGGAAGGCCTCAGTCAGGTCTCGGGGTGGCTGGGCTGGGTCCCAGGTCATCCTGTGCTCAGTTAGCAGCTCATCCAGCTGGGTCAGGAAAGCCTTTTGGAAGCGTAGGACCTTGCCAGCCAGCGCTGGGATGTGCGGGAGGACGGGGACAGCATTCAGCACCTACACCAGACAGAACCGGGTCTCAATCCTTCCTGTGCTCTGCGTTCATCTGGACCAGTCTCAGGCCCCAGCCATCTCCAGGAAGACCCAGGGCCTGCCTGTCCTTACCACTGACCTCACCAAGTCCCTCCCCAAGTGCCAGCCTCCACCCTCTCTCTCCTTGCCCAGAGGAGAAACCTAAAATCGAAATCTCCAACGTGGACGGGGGTACAGAGTCCTTGGCCTCTCCTGGTGCCCCCTGACCCGGGCACACCTCTCCCACGACCATGTCTGAGATGTCCCCTCCTCCTCCAGGCCCTTCTTACAGTGGGGTCTCCTGGAATGTCCTTTCCCAAACCCATCTACGCAAATCCTGCCCTTCGGAGGCCCCAGTCCAGCCCCGGCACCTCTCAGGAGCTCGCCCTGCAAAGACCCTTGCTCCGCACCTCGCGCAGGAAGCCCGACTCCTCCTTCGATCCCTCCCTGAGCTAGGTCCAGCAGCCTGAGGAAGCGAGGGTCGTCGTACTCGAAGCGGCGCCCGCAGGTGAGGGAGGCGATCACGTTGCTCACGGCTTTGTCCAAGAGACCGTTGGGGCGAAAGGGGCGTCCTGGGGGTGGGAGATGCGGGTAAGGGGTCTCCTTCTCCGTCCCCCGCCTTCCCAGTTCCCGCTGTGTGCCCTTCTGCCCATCACCCACCGGCTTGGTCGGCGAAGGCGGCACAAAGGCAGGCGGCCTCCTCGGTCACCCACTGCTCCAGCGACTTCTTGCCCAGGCCCAAGTTGCGCAAGGTGGACACGGAGAAGCGCCTCTGCTCGCGCCACGCGGGCCCATAGCGCGACAGGATCACCCCTGGGGGCGGGACGGACACGTGGGCGTTGCCATGAAGGCCTTGGCCCCACCCTCCGCCACCCACTCCAACCCTGGCGCTCCACAAGGTCTCCCGCAGTCCCTAGCCCGGTCCAGCTGGGCACAGGGCCCACTCTTTGCTCACCCACATTGCTCCCCTGCCTGGGGCGGGGTTTGGCCCCACCTCGTCTCTGCCCACCCTGACCACCTTTCCACTCAAGGAAGATCCCGCCCGTCCCGCCCACACTGAGCCCGCAGCATAGGCGCGGTCCCCGCCACCGCCACTTCGACGCATCAGCCTCGCCCACCGGGCTTCTGGCGGGTCTGGGCAGTAGCCCCGCCCCCTCCCAGCCCACAGACTCGCACCTCCCCCGTGCAGGTGGTTTCCTGGCCCACTGTCCTCAGCCCACTCGCTGGCCTTTATCTCTGTTTCACGTCCAGGACCCCACGCCCTGTCGGCGCTGCTTGGGCTACGGTCACTGTCCACCCGGGGCCCACGGAAACGCGGTCTCTGTCCCCCACCGCCGCTTGCCTTGGGAACGCGGCCCGAAGCCCAGGACCTGGTAGATGGGCGCAGGCGGGCGGTCGGCCGTGTCCTCGCCGCGGGTCACCATCGCCTCGCGCACGGCCGCCAGCCCATTGAGCACGACCACCGGCGTCCAGGCCAGCTGCAGGCTGAACACGTCCCCGAAGCGGCGCCGCAACTGCAGAGGGAGGGTCAGGGCCTCTTGTCAAGCCAGGATCCCCCCAGACTACAGGTCCTAGTCCTATTTGAACCTTGGACGACCCCCGGGGCTACCAGGAGTGAGCAGGTGGAAGGAGGAGACCCAGCCTCCTGATCCTGGGGCGGGGGTGGGGGTCACACCTTCTGTGATGGAGGAACTCAGTTTGGATGCGTCACCCAGGTATGACCTTGCAAGAGTCACCAAAATTGCCGAGAGGCCCCAGTTAGCATCCCATTCCCAGATGATGGTCCATGCCGGTGAGCAGTGAGGCCCGAGGACCCACAGTGCAAAAGGTTTGAACCGGGTCACTGCACCCCCTTCATCCTCGATTTCGTGATTTAAACGGCACTCAGGACTAACTCATCTTCCATTCCCAAGGCCTTTCCTTCTGGTGTCAGCAGAAGGGACTTTGTACTCCATAACATATGTTGCCCAATGGGCTTGCATGCCCACTGCCAAGTCCAGCTCCACCTCCAGGCCCTTGC
This sequence comes from Homo sapiens, assembly GCF_000001405.40. NCBI lineage: Eukaryota > Metazoa > Chordata > Mammalia > Primates > Hominidae > Homo > Homo sapiens. Next base: position 43,361 of record NW_009646208.1, read on the forward strand.
CCTACTCTTCCTTGGCCTTTGGAAAATCCAGTCCTTCATGCCATGTATAAATGTCCTTCCCCAGGACGTCCCCCAAACCTGCTTCCCCTTCTCAGCCTGGCTTCTGATCCAGCCTGTGGTTTAACCCACCACCCATGTTTGCTGGTGGTGGGGCATCCTCAGGACCTCTGCCGCCCTCCAGGACCTCCTCCCTCACCTGGTCGAAGCAGTATGGTGTGTTCTGGAAGTCCACATGCAGCAAGGTTGCCCAGCCCGGGCAGTGGCAGGGGACCTGGCGGGTAGCGTGCAGCCCAGCGTTGGTGCCGGTGCATCAGGTCCACCAGGAGCAGGAAGATGGCCACTATCATGGCCAGGGGCACCAGTGCTTCTAGCCCCATGGCTGCCTCACTACCAACTGGGCTCCTCTGGACACACCTGGCACCCCCACCCCACCAGGCACAGAGGACCAGGCAGGACACTCTCAGCACACCGAGCGCGTGACCCTTCCCTTATAAAGGGAGCTGATGATGGCCTTCGCCCTCTGCTGTGAGTGAACCTGCTGTGTTGACTGTGCTGCCAGTGGCAGAGTCAGGCCAGGGTGGGTATGGGCTGCTCCAGAGGTCCTTGCCGCTGCTTCCTGCTCCAGGCCCTTACCCAGGGTAGGGTGGTAGAAAGGCCTGGTCGGAGAAGTCACCCCCTCTCCCCACTCCAAGCTCCCCAAGCCCACACAGGCTTCTGGGATAACCAGGGTCTCAGTGGACCCGGCCATCCACCTCCCAGCTAGGCTCATACACCGTAATGTAGTCACAACCCCTCCTCCAGAACATGGCCTTGCCCTTTCCCTACCCCCACCTGCCCACTCCAGAGTGACCTTCAGCACCCTTATCTGTCACTGGCACTTACCTGGGGCCTTAGAGCTCCTGATGATGAGTGGCATCATGGGCCTGGTCCCTTCACTTCACCTTGCACTCTTGACATGCACAGACGCTATGCACACACCTGATGGTGCACAGATCTCTTGTCCACTCCCAGACACTTGTCCACTTGTTCACACTTGCAAGGACACGATTACACATGCAGAAAATCACCCACACAAAGACAATATTCACACATACACAGACTCACACTGACACTCAGGGCACACATTCTCTCTCACACACACCAGTCACACACACATACAGACCCGGCACCAAGTACCCCACTTCCCAGCCATGCCCAAGGTTTCCTGGATGGGACCTCTCCTGTCCAGAGGCTGCTCCCAGTGAGCCTCAAAGCTGTCACGTGGATCCCAGCTCAGCCCACATTCTGGGCTCTGGCCGGGCCATGGCTTCCTGTTTGCAACAGGGCTGTTCCCAGAGCTCCCAGTTGGTAGCCTGAAGGCCCTTGCCCCAGCCTGTGACAGCATCCTCCAGGGCTGCCTGAGGGTCGTCATTCTCCACTGCTTCCTGGCCTCCATGTTTCTGATTAGAAATCTGGTGGAAACATTATGGAGGATCCTTTATTTAGGATATGTTGCTTTTTTATTTTTATTTTTTCTTTAGACAGGGTCTCACTCTGTTGCCCGGGCCGGAGTGCAGTGGCAGGATCACGGCTCACTGCAATCTCAACATCAAGTGGACCTCCTGCCTCCCAAGTAGCTGGGACTACAGGCACCACCGAGCCCAAATAATTTTTTTTTTGAGACGGAGTTTTGCTCTGTCGCCCAGGTGGGAGTGCAATGATGCGATCTCGGCTCACTGCAACCTCCACCTCCAGGGTTCAAGCGATTCTCCTGCCTCAGCCTCCCAAGTAGCTGGGATTACAGGTGCCCACCACCATGCCTGGCTGATTTTTTGTACAAGAAGTTTATAGAACACCAAGCAGATTTAACCCAAAGAAGACGACCTCAAGGCATCTGATAATTAAACTCCGAAAGGTCAAGGATAAAGAAAGGATCCTAAAAGCAGCAAGAGAAAAGAAACAAATAACATGCAGTAGAGCTCCAATACATGACATGGGGCAGCCACCTTTCCAGTGGAAACCTTACAGGCCAGGGGGGAGTGGCATGACATATTTAAAGTGCTGAAGGAAAAAAAACTTTTAGCCGAGAATAACGTATCTGGCAAAAATATCCTTCCAACAGGAAGGAGAAATAAAGACCTTCCCAGACAAACAAAAGCTGCGAGATTTCATCAACACCAGACCTATATCCCACAAGAAATGCTAAAGGGAGTTTTTCAATCTGAAAAAAAAAAGGATATTAATGAGCAAGAAGAAATCATCTAAAGGTACAAAACTCACTGGTAATAGTAAGCACACAGAAAAACAGAGTATTATAATACTGTAATTGTGGTGTGTAAACTACTCTTATTTTAATTAGACTAAATGATGAACCAATCAAAAATAATAAGTACTTTTCAAGACAGACAGTACAGTAAGACATAAAGAGGCCGGACCCGGTGGCTCACGCAGGTAATCCCAGCACTTTGTAAGGCTGAGGTGGGTGGATCACCTGAGGGCAGGAGTTCGAGACAAGCCTGGCCAACATGGTGAAACCCCATCTCTACTAAAAATACAAAAAATTTAGCTGGGCATGGTGGTGGGCGCCTGCTACCCAGGAGGCTGAGGCAGGAGAATCGGTTGAACCTGGGAAGTGGAGGTTACAGTGAGCTGAGATCGTGCCACTGCACTCTAGCCTGGGCAACAGAGCAAGACTTTATCTCAAAAACAAAAAAAGAGAAACAACAAAAAGTTAAAAAGCACTAAGATGAACTTAAAGTGTAGAGTTTTTATTAGTCTTCCTTTTGCTTTATGTTTGTTTACGCAATCAGTGTTGTCATCCGTTTAAAATAATGAGTTATAAGATAATATTTGCAAGCCTCACGGCAACCTCAAATCAAAAAGCACACAATAAGTGAGACTGTGTCTCAAAAAGAAAAGAAGAAAAAACACACAATGGATACACACACACAAAAAAGCAAGAAATTAAATCATACCACCAGAGAAAATCACCTTCATTAAAAGGAAGACAAGGAAAAAAAAAAAAAAAAAAAAAAAAAAAAAAGAGAAGACCACAAAACAGTGAGAAAAGAAATAACAAAATAGCAGGAGTAAGTCCCTGCTTAGCAATAATAACATTGAATGTAAATGGACTAAACTCTCCAATACAAAGACACAGAGTGGCTGAATGGATGAAAAAGCAAAGCTCAATGCTCTTTTGTCTAGAAGAAACACACTTCACCTGTAAAGATACACATAGACTGAAAATAAAGGGATGGAAAAAGATACTCCATGCCAATGGAAAACAAAAAAGAGCAGGAGTAGCAATACTTAGACAGAACAGATTTTAAAACAAAAACTGTAAGAGGAGGCCGGGTGTGGTGGCTCACGCCTGTAATCCCAGCACTTTGGGAGGCCAAGACGGGCGGATCACGAGGTCAGGAGATTGAGACTATCCCGGCTAACATGGTGAAACCCCGTCTCTACTAAAAATACAAAAAATTAGCCAGGCGTGGTGGCGGGCGCCTGTAGTCCCAGCTACTCAGGAGGCTGAGGCAGGAGAATGGCGTCAACCTGGGAGGCGAAGCTTGCAGTGAGCCAAGATCGCGCCACTGCACTCCAGCCTGGGTGACAGAGCGAGACTCCGTCTCCAAAACAAAACAAACAAACAACAACAACCAAAAAAACTGTAAGAGGAGACAAAGAAGGTCATCCAGCAACAGAATATAACAATTGTAAATACATATGCACACAACACTGGAGCACGTAAAGCAAATGTTATTGGAGCCCAAGAGAGACGTTAACGCAATAACAGCTAAAGACGTCAACACCCCACATTCAGCATTGGACGGGTGTCCCAGATGGAAACCCAATAAGAAAACATTAGACTTAATCTGCACTACAAAAGAAATGGACCTACTAGATACTTATAGAACACTTCGTCTAAAGTCTGCAGAATACACATTCTTCTCCTCAGCACATGGATCATTCTCAAGGATACACCATATGTTAGGTCACAAAGCAAGTCTTAAAACATTACAAATGTTAAAATAATATCAAGCATCTTCTCTGACCACAACAGAATAAAAGTGGAAATCAACAACAAGAGGAATTCTGGAAACTATACATACACGTGAAAATTAAACAATATGGTCCGGAATGGCCAGTGGTTCAATGAAGAAATTAGGAAGGAAATTTGGCTGGGCACAGTAGCTTACACCTGTAATCCCAGCACTCTGGGGGGCTGAGGCAGTCAGATGACCTGAGATAGGGAGTTCGAAAGCAGCCTGGCCAACATGGTGAAACTCCGTCTCTACAAAAAATACAAAAATTAGCAAAGCATGGTGGCATGTGCCTGCAGTCCCAGCTACTAGGGAGGCTGAGATGGGAGGATTGCTTGAACCCAGGAAGTCAAGGCTGCAGTGAGCCCTGATGGCATCACTGCACTCCAGCCTCGGTGACAGAGCAAGACCCTGTCTCAAGAAAACACACACACACACACACACACACACACACACACACACACACAGAGATGCTCAAACTAATATCATTTTGCTGTTAGAGCCAAGAGGGGTGGCCTGTGTAGTAAAAAGTGGGGAAGTCATTCCTTGCACAATGCAAGCCACTGGACCAAGAGTCCAAACTGACTCTTGACAGGAGGCTGGGAGATATCTGCTAAGGCCTTGGAATGTCCTGCCTGAAATAGTGTCTTTGTACATAGCTAGGGCCTTGGACCATACAACACAGTTTATGCCAACAATGTGATCGAGGGTGGGGCCGTCAGGCCTGTATCCATCTGACTTCAGGAGGGGCTGGAGACTGAGTAACTGAGGTCAGCCATGCTGCGGGGGCTCAAGCCTAGGATGACCAACTCCCAACAAAAACCATGGACACCAAGGCCCAGGTGAGCTTCCGTGGCTGGCAGGGCTCTCTGCTGCCTCACTTACTGTTGGGGGAGAATTAAGCACTGCCTGTAGGAGTCCACCAGAAAAGAGAGCTGCAGCCTTGGCCTGGTCATTCTGGACTCTGGTCCCTGTGCCTTTCATCTTTGCTGACTTTAATCTGTACCCTTCTCTGTAATAAACTGTTAACAGGGAGAATAACAGCTTTTCTAGGGCTGTGAGACCTTCTAGAAATCACTGAACCTGAGGGTGGTCTGGGGGAGCACAACACAGTCTCCCACCCTAGCCAGGGAATGGATTGATTCTTGGCATATGCCTATTCATATCCACCCCAGCCAAGACTTACGCATGGACTTTGTCACCAAGCCAGGCAGCCAGTGATGGGTCTCTGGGCGTGACGTGGGGGCAGGCTGTTTCCTGCTGAGAATCACTATGCCTGTATCTCAAGTAAAGTCAGGCGTCCAGGTAAGAGTGAATGAGGTGAGGCTGGTCTCGGTGGCTCACGCCTGTAATCCCAGCACTTTGGGAGGCTGAGGCTGGTGGTCACGTGAAGTCAGGAGTTTGAAACCAGACTGGCCAACATGGCGAAACCCATCACTACTAAAAAGACAAAAATGAGCCGGGGGTGGTACCCGGTGCCTGTAATCCCAGCTACTCAGGAAGCTGAGGCACGAGAATCGCTTGAACTCTGGAGGCGGAGGTTGCAGTGAGCTGAGATTGCACCACTGCACTCCAGCCTGGGTGACAGAGTAGGCTCCATCTCAAAAAAAAAAAAAAAAAAAAATGAATGAATGAGGTGAGGGGTGAGGGGTGAGGGGTGAGCACTGACATCAGGCAGGTGACTGACGACCCAACACAACCAGGACCTTGGCAGGGGCCCAGACTGGATACAGAAACCAAGTGGGAGCCACTAGACTAATTTATTGTACAACAGGGTCCCAGCTGAGGAGCAACTCTAGCGGGGCACAGCACAAAGCTCATAGGGGGATGGCGTCACCAGAAAGCCGACGACACGAGAGTGGCTGGGCCGGGGCTGTCCGGTGGGCACCGAGAAGCTGAAGTGCTGCAGCAGGGAGGTGAAGAAGAGGAAGAGCTCCATGCGGGCCAGGGGCTCCCCGAGGCATGCACGGCGGCCTGTGGGGAGGGGAGGGGCGTCAGTGAGCCTGGCTCCCGGGTGATACCCCTGCAAGACTCCACGGAAGGGGACAGGGAGCCGGGCTCCCCACAGGCACCTGCTGAGAAAGGCAGGAAGGCCTCCAGCTTCACAAAGTGGCCCTGGGCATCCAGGAAGTGTTCGGGGTGGAAGCGGAAGGGCTTCTCCCAGACGGCCTCATCCTTCAGCACCGATGACAGGTTGGTGAAGAGCATCATCCCCTGGGCAGGAGATGCAGGGTGAGAGTGGGGACTGGACTCTAGGATGCTGGGACCCCCAAGCACACAGGGGACACACACTGCCTGGCACACAGCTGGACTCTGTCAACTAGTCCTGTGCCCGAGAAGCTCCAGAGCACCCTCTCCGACCCCATGGCAGGGCGCAGTCACACCTCCTGGGAGCGCCCACGCTACCCCCTCTCCCTACAGGTATTGGGGTCCTCCAACATTCTGGCAGGTCCTGGTCTGCCTTCCCCACTAGACTGGGGCTCTGGATGGACAGGCCAGCCCTGCCTATACTCTGCACCCCACACCCAGGCTGGGACAGTCGATGTGGTGGCATTGAGGACTGGGTGGCCAGGGTTCCTAGACTGGGCCCACCTGGCAGTGGCCATGCTGGGGCTATCACCAGGGGCTGGTGCTGAGCTGGGGTGAGGAGGGTGCCAGGCCTACCTTAGGGATGCGGAAGCCCTGTACTTCGATGTCACGGGATGTCATATGGGTCACACCCAGGGGGACGATGTCCCCAAAGCGCTGCACCTCGTGAATCACGGCAGTGATGCAGGGCATGCGAGCCTGGTCACCCATCTCTGGTCACCACACCTGCCCTATCACGTTGTCGATCTGTTGGACACGGCCTGGACAGACACGCGTCCCCACAATGGGTCAGCACCCAGGGGACCAGCCCTGACACTCTCCTGCCTCCTGTGTTGGAGGAGGTTAGGCTTACAGGAACCTGGCCAAGCCTGTGCTTGGAGTCCCGGGTGTCCCAGCTAAGCTCAGGGGCCCCCACCTGTACCCTTCCTCCCTTGCCCCCTGCACTGGGCCCCAGCTGGGCTCACGCTGCACATCCGGGCGTAGGATCATGAGCAGGAGGCCCCAGGCCAGCGTGATCGAGGTGGTCACCATCCCGGCAAAGAACAGGTCAGCCACCACTATGCGCAGGTTCTCATCATTGAAGCTGCTCTCAGGGTTCCCCTTGGCCTGAGCAGGGCTGAGAGGGTACTCAGGGGACAGAACGGGAGAGCCCCCAAATGACCTCCACATTCTGCACCTGTCAGCCCAGGTGCCACTTGCCAAGTGATCCAATGGACCCACCTTTTGCCTGCCTCATTCTTCCCGGACGCTCAACCCACCACCCCTGGTCCCTACCGTGTCAGCCACTCTCACCTTCTCCTTCTCTGCCAGGAAGGCCTCAGTCAGGTCTCGGGGTGGCTAGGCTGGGTCCCAGATCATTCTGTGCTCGGTCAGCAGCTCATCCAGCTGGGTCAGGAAAGCCTTTTGGGAGCGTAGGACCTTGCCAGCCAGCCCTGGGATGCGCAGGAGGAGGGGGACAACATTCAGCATCTACAGCTGACACAGAACGGGGTCTCAATCCCTCCTGTGCTCTGCGTTCACCTGGACCAGTCTCAGGCCCCAGCTGCCTCCAGGGAAGACCCAGGGCCTGCCTGTCCCCACCACTGACCTCCCCAAGTCCCTCCCCAAGTGCCAGCCTCCACCCTCTCTCCTTGCCCTGGGCTGCCAGAGGAGAAACCTAAAAATCAAAATCTCCAATGTGGACAGGAGGCACAGGGTCCTTGGCCTTTCTTGGTGCCCCCTGACCCGGGCACACCTCTCCCACGACCGTATCTGAGATGTCTCCTCCTCCTCAAGGCCCTTCCTCTAGCAGTGAGCTCTTCTGGAATGTCCTTTCCCAAACCACTCTATGCAAACCCTGCTCCTTGGAGGTCCGGCTGCAGTCCCGGCACCTCTCAGGAGCTCGCCCTGCAGAGACCCTGCGGTCCCTCGCTCCACATCTCTCGCAGAAAGCCCAGCTCCTCCTTCAATCCCTTCTGAGCTAGGTCCAGTAGCCTGAGGAAGCGAGGGTCGTCGTACTCGAAGCGGCGCCCGCAGGTGAGGGAGGCGATCACGTTGCTCGCCGCTTTGTTCAGGAGGCCGTTGGGGTGAAAGGGGCGTCCTGGGGGCGGGAGATGCGGGTCAGGGGTCGCCTTCCCAGTCCTCCACCTTCCCAGTTCCCGCTTTGTGCCCCTCTGCCCATCACCCACTGGCTTGGTCGGCGAAGGCGGCACAGAGGCAGGCGGCCTCCTCGGTCACCCACCGCTCCAGGGACTTCTTGCCCAGGCCCAAGTTGCGCAAGGTGGACACGGAGAAGCGCCTCTGCTCGCGCCACGCGTGTCCGTAGTGTGCCAGAAACACCCCTGGGGGCGGGACGGACACATGGGCGTGGTCATGGAGGCCTTGGCCCCGCCCTCCGCCGCCCACTCCAACCCTGTGCTTTTCCTGGTCTCCCGCAGTCCCTGGCCCTGTCCAGCTGGGCACAGGGCCTGCTCTTTGCTCACTCACCTTGCTTGGGTCTTGGCCCCACCTTGGCTCTTCCGACCCTGACTGCCTTTCCACTCAGGGAAGATCCCGCCCGTCCCGCCCCGCCCATACTGAGCCCACAGCAGAGTCCATCCCGGCTTCTAGACACCCGCTTCCAGCTGGGAAAGGCGCCAGCTCCGCCCACCCGGTTCCTGGTGGGTCTCGGCAGTTGCCCCGCCCACTCACAAGCCCCTCTTCCTCCCGCCCACAGACTCGCACCTCCCCAATGGAAGTGGTTTCCTGGCTCGCTGTCCCCAACCCACTCACTGGCCCACAACCCCGCGCCCTCTCAGCCCAGCTTGGGCTACGGTCACCGCCCACCCAGGACCCACGGAAACGCAGTCTCTGTCCCCCACCGCCGCTTGCCTTGGGAGCGCGGCCCGATGCCCAGGACCTGGTAGATGGGCGCAGGCGGGCGGTCGGCGGTGTCCTCGCCGCAGGTCACCAGAGCCTCACGCACGGCCGCCAGCCCATTGAGCACGACCACCGGCGTCCAGGCCAGCTGCAGGCTGAACACGTCCCCAAAGCGGTGCCGCAGCTGTAGAGGGAGGGTCAGGGCCTCCGTTGGGTCAGGGCCTCCATCAGGCCAGGGTCCCCCCAGACTGCAGGTCCTAGTCCTATTTGAACCTTAGACGACCCTCGGGGCTACCAGGAGTGAGCAGGTGGAAGGAGGAGACCCAGCCTCCCGATCCTGGGGCGGGGATGGGGTCACACCTTCTGTGATGGAGGAACTCAGTTTGGATGCGTCACCCAGGTATGACCTTGCAAGAGTCACCAAAATTGCCGAGAGGCCCCAGTTAGCATCCCATTCCCAGATGATGGTCCATGCCGGTGAGCAGTGAGGCCCGAGGACCCACAGTGCAAAAGGTTTGAACCGGGTCCACTATATCCCTTCATCCTTGATTTCTAACTTACTCATTTATTTAGACCATGTCTGGCTCTGTCACCCAGGCTGGAGCGCAATGGCGCGATCTTGGCTCACTGCAACCTCCACCTCCCGGGTTCAAGCAATTCACCTGCCTCAGCCTCCCATGTAGCTGGGATTACAGGTGCCCACCACCGTGCCCCGCTAATTTTTGTATTTTTAGTAGAGGCAGGGTTTCACCATGTTGGCCAGGCTGGTCTCGAACTCCTGACCTTGTGATCCCCCCACCTTGGTCTCCCAAGATGCTGGGATTACAGGTGTGAGCCACCGCGCCCAGCCGTTGATTTTTTTTTTTTTTTTTTTTTTTTTTTTTTTTGAGACAGAGTCTCGCTCTGTCGCCCAGACTGGAGTGTAATGGTGTGTTCTCAGCTCACTTCAAGCTCTGCCTCATGGGTTCATGCCATTCTCCTGCCTCAGCCTCCCAAGTAGCTGGGACTACAGGTGCCCACCACCTCGCCTGGCTAATTGGTTTGTATCTTTAGTAGAGACGGGTTTCATTGTGTTAGCCAGGATGGTCTCGATCTCCTAACCTCATGATCCGCCCGCCTTAGCCTCCCAAAGGGCCGGGATTACAGGCGTGAGCCACCGCGCCCGGCCTGATTTCTTATTCGTTTATTTAGACATTGTCTGGCTGTGTCACCGAGGTTGCAAGGCAATGGCACAATCTCCACTCACTACAACCTCTGCCTCCTAGGTTCAAGCAATTCTCCTGCCTCAGCCTCCCAAGTAGCTGGGATTGCAGGCGTGCACCACTGTGCCCAGCTCATTTTTTGTATGTTTAGTAGAGACCGGTTTTTGCCATGTTGGCCAGACTCATCTGGAACCCCTGACCTCAGGTGATCCGCCCACCTTGGCTTCCTTAAGTGCTGGGATTATAGGCGTGAGCCACCACGCACAGCCTGATTTCCTGATTTAAACGGCACACAGGACCCTGACTCGTCTTCCATTCCCAAGGCCTTTCCTTCTGGTGTCAGCAGAGGGGACTTTGTGCTCCTAACATATGCTGCCCAATGGGCTTGCACGCCCACTGCCAAGTCCAGCTCCACCTCCAGGCCCTTGCCCTACTCTTCCTTGGCCTTTGGAAAATCCCATCTTTCATGCCATGCATAAATGCCCTCCCCCAGGAAGTCCCTCAAATCTGCTTCCCCTTCTCAGCCTGGCTTCTTGTCCAGACTGTGGCTCCACCCACCACCCATGTTTGCTGGTGGTGGGGGATCCTCAGGACCTCCTCCCTCACCTGGTTGAAGGTGTATATGTTCTGGAAGTCCACATGCAGCAAGTTGCCCAGCCCGGGCAGTGGCAGGGGGCCTGGCGGGTAGCGTGCAGTCCAGCGTTGGTGCTGCTGCATCAGGTCCACCAGGAGCAGGAAGATGGCCACTGTCACTGCCAGGGGCACCAGTGCATCCAGCCCCATGGCTGCCTCACTGCCCATTGGGCTCCTCTGGACACACCTGGCACCTCCACCCCACCAGGCACAGAGGACCAGGCAGGACACTCTCAGCACACCCAGTGCATGACCGTTCCCTTATAAAGGGAGCTGATGATGGCCTTTGCCTTCTGCTGTGAGCCAACCTGCTGTGTTGACTGTGCTGCCAGTGGGTGCAGGGTCAGGCCAGGGCGGGTATGGGCTGCTGCAGAGGTCCTTGCCCCTGCTCGCTCTAGTTGCCTACCCAGATTAGGGTGGTGGGCGAGAGGTGGCCTGGCATGGGAGCTCCACCCAAGTTGGAGGTATGGATTGTACTGGGTGCTGAGCTGTGTACTGGGAGCATGGTGGTAAGGCTGTGAGTCAATGCCCCAACGTAATGATGACCACGGGGAGTAGGAAGGTAACATAGCTGACATGACAAGCCAGCAGTGCCATGAGGGTCCATGGGGACGTTGTCCCAGGCTGGAACAGGACTTTCTGGGAAGGATTCATGGAGAACTTTGTCTAGCTGACTGAGGGGCTGCCTAGCACTGTAGGCCACGGCACTGGCAGTGGGACCAACCCACCCCTGGAATTTCCTGTGCAGGTGGCCTGAGGGGCAGCAGGAGGCCAGCAGCTGGAGCCTGGGTCTTTTCAGGTCTGGATGAAGACTGGATCTGGGGAACAAAAGGCAGGGAGAACAGTTTATTTAAAATTTAAAAATATATATATATTTTTTAGAGACAAGATCTTGCTCTGTTGCCCAGGCTGGAGTGCAGAGCTGTGATCATAGCTCACTCAAACTCCTGTGCTCAATCAAGAGATCCTATTTTAGCGTCCCGAGTAGCTGGAACTACAGGTGCACATCATTACGCTCGGCTAATTTTTTTGTTGAGATGGGTCCTCACTATGTTGCCCACGCTGGTCTGGAACTCCTGGCTTCAAGTGATCCTCCTGCCTTGGCCTCCCAAAGTGTTGGAAATAGAGGCATGAGCCACCTGGCCCAACAGAAGTTTTGAAGCTACTCAACTGACAGAGAGAGCAAGACCCATGCCTATCTGGGGACTTCTCAGATCTGGCTTGTGGTCTCCCAAACTGGCCTCAGCTGAATGAATGTTCCTGTCCTACATGGCAGCACTGTTCTATTTGGGACTGTGAGAGAATCAAGGTGCAGGGACAGCAGGATGGTCTGGGTGCTTGTTACATGGTGGCCCTTTATACATTACCTGTATGCACTCTTGGCCTTTTGAGGTGGCAGGCCCTCCCCAAGCAGTCATCATGAATCATGATGGGGGTGTGAAGGGCAGGGACAGGCATGCCTGCAATGTGGGCAGTGTCCTCCCGAGTGCCCTCCTTACCAGCCAGAGGCCTGTAATTCAAGATATGGCAGCATGAGGAAAACATTTAATAACAATGCCTGTGGCCTTTTCCAATCATTGTGCACCTGTGGCTTCCATTGATCGGGCACTTATGTGCCAGAAACTGCTGGTCAGACTGTGTGCTCTAGCTCATTAATCCTCCCACAGCCCCCTAAGGAGGTGGTTTTATGGTCCCCAAGGCACAGAGACTGAGGCTCAGAGATCACATAACAAGGTTCAAGTCACACAGCGGTGTTAGGAGTCCACATCCAATGTGTATGCTGAGCTACTATTCTATACTGTTTGGACATTACATTCTATTAATGGTCAGTATAGATGTTTCTGGGATTTATTATTTTTAGGAAACAGATCCAACCTGCCTTCCCTGAACAGTGGTACTGCTGTGTCATGGTAAAAAGTGCACTGTGCCCTGGCAGGCCCTATGGACGTTGCCAAGTGAGATGGTGTGAAAATATGTCAGCAAGTGGTAGACTAGGAAACTGCGGGCTCTCGTTCTCCTAGAGAGCTCAATGTTAAAGCTATAGGAGACCAAAACATCGTGAGAATTCTAGAAACTAGTTAGGATGCTGCAATGCCAGCTAGTGCAGAGCCAGGGAGGGACTGCACTGGGAAGGGTAGTCAAGTTGGAGCATTTTGCTTGTTCTTGCCCTTCCCCCTGCCAGGCATAGCAATGCTACTGGGAGAGACCCTCCAATTCCCAGCTCCTCCCATGGGATGGGTTTCTGCTGGGTCCGACTCAAGAGTGCTGAGTGGTGGGGTCTGTCTGCCCTCAGAGCAGCACCTCTGCGTTTCCACAGCTGCAAGGGGACGGGGTTATGGGCAGTGGAATAGTTGTGTCTGGGTATCCTGGAGGGGATTGGTGCCAGGACCCCCGGTAAATACCAAAACCCAAGGATGCTCAGGTTCCTTATGTAAAATGGCATAGTATACCTATGCAAATGCTCCTGTATACTTTAAATCATCTCTAGATTATTTATAATGCCTAATACAGTGTAAATGCTACATAAATAGTTGCTATACTGTACTGCTCTTATTTGTATTTTTAGTTGTTATACTTTCTCAAGTTATCTTTGATGTGTGGTTGAATTTGTGGATGCGGAGCCTGTGGGTATCGAGGGCTGCTTGTACCCTAGAAACAGAAATGGAAAGCTCCAGGGGCAGGGCCAGCCTGCAGGGGGGCAGTTTAATGGGTAAAGCTTCCGTTTTATAAAATGAAAAATTCTGGAGATTGGTTGCACAACAATCTGAACACATTTCCCACTAAACTGTACTGTGACTGTTATGATGGTACATTTTTTTAACCACAATTTAAAAACTTTATGAGTATTAAAAAAATAAATGGCTATATACACACCTATTAGAATGGCTTAAATCCAGAACACTGACAACACCAAATGCTGGCAAGGATGTGGAGCATCAGGAACTCATTCATTGCTGGTGGGAGTACAAAATGGTACAGACACTTTGGAAGAAAGTTTGGCAATTTCTTTTCCTTTTCTCAGTTTTTTTTTTTTTTTTTTTTTGAGACAGAGTCTCACTCACTCTGTCACCCAGGCTAGGAGTGCAGTGGCACGATGATCTCAGCTCACTGGAACCTTTGCCTCCTGCGTTCAAGCAATCCTCCCACCTCAGCCTCCCGTTTAGCTGGGACTGCAGGCGTGAGCCACCATGCCTGGCTGATTTTTGTATTTTTAGTAGAGACAGGGTTTCACCATGTTGGCCAGGCTGGTCTCAAACTCCTGACCTCAGGTGATCCAGACAGTTTGGCAATTTCTTACAAAACTAGACATACTCTTACCATACAATCCACCAATCGTGCTTCCTGTACTTACCCAAAGGAGTTGAGGCCTTATGTCCACACAAAAACCTGCAAAGGGATGTTTACAGCAGCTTCATTTGTAATTGTCAAAACTTGAAAGCAACCAAGATGTTCTTCAGCAGTTGAATGGATAAACTGTGGTACAGCCAGACAATGGAATTATTTATCACTAAAAAGAAACAAGCTATCAAGTCATGAAAAGACACGGTTGAACCTTAAATGCACATTACTAAGTGAATGAAGCCAATCTAAAAAAGGCTACCTACTATCTAATCTCAACTATATGATACTTTGGAAAAGGCAAAACTTTGCAGACAGTAAAAGGCTCAGCGGTGAGGGACTGGGGCTAAGGAGGAATGAACAGTGGGACACGGAGGATCCCTGGAGCAGTGAAACTACTCTGGATCATGGTGCGTCCTCGTCTTTTTGAGACAGGATTTTGCTGTCACCCAGGCTGAAGTGTGGTGGCGCGATCACGACTCACTGTAGCCTCGACCTCCTGGGCTCAAGTGATCCTCCCATCTCAGCCTCCCAAGTAGCTGAGACTACAGGCATGCACCATCATGCCTGGCTAATTTTTGTATTTTTATGTAGAGATGGGGTTTCGCCATGTTGCCCAGGCTGTTCTCGAACTCAAGTGATACACCCACCTGAGCCTCCCAAAATGCTGGGATTATAGGCGAGAGCCACCACGCCCTGCCAGATCCAGGTCTTTATACATTTGTCAAAGGCCATAAAATGTACACCACCGGGAGTGGCCCCTAGTATAAACTATGGACTTTGGGTGAAAACAGTATGCCAACTCTGGTTGGGATGTTGATAGAGGGAAAGGTATGCATACGGGGGGAAGGGGTTATATGGGAACTGTCTGTACCGTCAGCTTAATCCTTCTGTGAACATAAAACTACTTTAAAAAAAATCAATTAAGACAAACACTAAAGGAACTAAAAGGCACTTGAGCAGTTGAGGAGAACTGCAGAAGCCAGAAACTGGAGTCAGGAGGCATGCGTGTATCACTGCCACTCCCCAGTGAAGGTCATTACTGAAGCCAATTTAAGGAAAGACCTAGAACAATCACAAGTGCTCCACTCAGGCAAATCAAAAGGGGACAAAAGAATAAAAGACAAAATGACAAACATTTGCTGTCAGGAAAATATTTTCCTCAAGATACATATTTTTCAAGTTTTGTGGTTTAGCCCTTGACACCTGAAGTCTATCCATTTCATTTTAACTGTATTAATGCCAAGTCAAGACCAGAATGAGACAACAACTAGCTCAAAAAAGCCATCATTTCTGTGCAGGTCCTGTTCAGTTGCCTAAGCTTGGTCCTACGGCCGGCACGGCGCACCCACCCACACCTCCATCCTGGCGGAGTGAAATGAGAAATGGACTGCTTGATGTAGCCATTAAAATACAATTAATCTGCCATTTCTGCTGCCCCAAATTGATGAACACAGAACTCATTTATAATTGCTTATTTCTGCTTCACAATATTCCTTCCAGTATTTCCATTCTCTAAAAAAGTCCATTAACATTCCATTATTTTTTTATAACCCTTAATGTTGATTGGAAATATGTCTTCATATCAACTTGAGTAAATCTGACTGTCCCCATACACTGGCCACACTCCACCTGCCCAGAGGAGTGGCAGAAGAACCCTAAATTTTGTTTGCTTCCCGGCTGCGTGGCCATCGAGAGGCCAGGAATGGGACAGACAGGTTCTGATCATGGCCTCCTCTGGAGAACCAGAGCTACCCTTTGGGGGTTAGAATGGGAGAAGGAAGAGACGCATTCACTTTAAAGTAAACAGAAGAGGAAACAAGGTTAAAATGAAGTTTATTATTTTTTTGATTTTTTGATTTTTTTTGTTTTTTGTTTTTTTAAATAAAACTGTTTGTGAAACAGCTATTTTATCCCCATGGCAGAGTGACCCCTGAAAGATGCACTAACCCCTTCTTAAGGCCATAACAAGATTTTTTTGTACTTTTTTCTTTTTTTAAAACTCAGATATTTAAAAATTATACAATTTACAAAACAAAACAACACAACATAAAGAATCACGTAGCATGGGGCTGCCTATCTGACAGGTCCTCTTTTCCTTTATAAAAATGAAAGCAAAAAGAAAAAGGGGTTAAATGGGTGTTCCTGGTCAGCTTAACCCACTCTGATCACAGCGACAGTCCCTCCCCGTCCCTGCCTACAGCTCACACTGCCAGCTCTGGCAACACAGGCCTGGACCTCCTCCCATCCCCACGGGTCCCTGTGGGTCAGGGCACAGCTGCCTGGAATGTGCTGAGGACAGGGGGCCCCAGAGGAGGGTCATCCCTTGATTTTGCTGCTGCTGTGTACACTTGATGGGGTCCTTGAGGTCCTCACCAGCCACAGTGACCCAGGACACAGCTATGACCTCAGGCATCTGCCAATTTCACCCCCAAAAAGAAAAAATTAAAAAAAAAAAACCATAAATAAATAGTGTTTCTGGAAATGAAAAAAAATTTATTTTTGTGTTTAAACATCATTCCCCTACTCTTGAAAACATGGACCATCCCTGTATTTCCCCCTCCCCCAAAACCTTCCCACTTTGAGACAAATTAATGACAAAAGGATGGTTCTGCTGTGGTTTGCTTTTTCAATCCTGGGTCTAGTGTTTTCTGAACTGGTGTGAGACAGGCTAAAGATCAACGCCACACACACACCCCGTCCTTCATGAGATGAGGGTTTGTTCAGTTCAATCTCACATTTAAATTTCACTTGTCATCGGAACAAATTTGGAGATCTTTAACGAGATAATTTTAAAACAGAATCAAAAGGGATAGCGCACCTTTCATTTAAACAAAGTCTTTCCAGACTAAAAATAGATTTATATATATATATTTATCCCTCCCTTTTAATTCCCCCCACCCTTTCCCCATCATCCCACCCCTCCCCCCTCCCCCCACATTGTCACTATGGAGATTGTGTCCATGGAAACAGCCATTCCAACGTCTTGGGTCTTTCTTTCCTGTGGTGTCACTGGTTTGAGTGTGATGTGAGAACTTAAGGAAGTGCTGGCATGGGCAGGCACGCGGGCGGGGCGGGGCGGGGCAGGGCAGGGTGTGGCTGCACGGTAGGACGATTTCCATTCCATCACGAGTGTCCACCACCTTCTCATCTCCACAGTCTCACCTGGAAGACAAGGGACACACAGTGAAGGCCAGGAGCCTCCACAGGGTCCACCACCAACAGCCGCTGTTCCGTGGTACCCCTGGGAGCTTTCAGCAGGGAGCCTGCACTCACGCCCCTCTGCAGATGTGCTGCTGATATGGGACACACCCGAGACCAATGCCAGGGCCACTGTGTGGCTCTGGATCTGGAATGTGATTAAAGGCAGCAATGACCTAGTGGGGGTGCTGGGGTTGGACTCTGAGGGCTCCTCAGGGCATGTCTGCCTTCCTAGTGCATAAAGGAACCAGTACAGCAGAGAACTCCCTGACCTCAGGGCAGGCCCCACTTGTGGGGCAGCTGGTGGGGTTTTGCCAGTGTCAGGACCCCAGTTGTGACTGAAACCTACAGTACCTGGTCAATCTGTGGAAGAAACTTCTCGAAGTCCAGCCTTTTAGGACAGTTTCACAGCTGCCTCTAGTCAACACAGCTAGTTGTTTGTTTTTGAGACAAGACATCGCTCTGTCGCCTTGGCTCCCTGCAGCCTTGACCTCCTGGGCTCAAGCAATCCTCCCACCTCAGCCTTCCAAGTAGCTGGGACTACAGGTACACGCCACCATGCTTGGCTAATGACAGTCTTTTTTTTTTTTTGAGACAGTCTTGCTCTATTGCCCAGACTGGAGTGTAGTGGTGTGCTCTTGGCTCACTGCAGCCTCTGCCCCCTGGGTTCAAGTGATTCTTGTGCCTCAGCCTCCCAAATAGCTGGGATCACAGGTGCACGCCACCACACCCGGCTAATTTTTGTATTTTTAGGAGAGATGTGGTTTTGCCATGTTAGGCTGGTCTAGAACTCCTGGCCCCAGCTGATCTGCCCACCTCGGCCTCCCAAAGTGTTGGGATTACAGGCGTGAGCCACTACACCTGGCCCACAGTCAGTTCTTCATGCTTAAAAAGAACACTCTTCCCATGGCCTCTAACAGGGAGGGCAGGTTTTCTGAGGCTCAGACAGAGCTGGACTATGTTAATCCTTTCGACCTCTCAGGAACCTGAGACCCCTAGGTCTCCCATCCCCAGGCTGGAGGGCTTCTCTCCTCTTCCAGCCCATGTGCAGAAGGGGATTCTGATGGCCCACGTAGGACAGATGGATTGTACCAAAGGTCCCTGTGGAACGCTTCATGGGCCATCTGATGTGGAAAGGTCTCAAAGACAAACAGCAGTTTCCTAGGAATCAGTCCAGTAAAATTTCACCAGAAGCCAGAAGTGGTGGCAGCCTTGCCCCTCCTTCACTTGCTATCTGCCAATCACTGTGCTTAAGACTGTCACTGGGGCTCACCTAACTGCTTCCTCAAGACCAATTTGGTGCCCTCCCCTGACAAACCCCAAGAACCCAAGTGTCACCAGCCCTTTCTGCTTCCATAAAGTTCACACACGCAGAACTGCTAAGGCGGCTGGGGCCTGCGGGAGCTAAGATTGAGCTGTTCCCAAGCACGTACATGCACATGCTCTTGCCCAAGGAGGTTCCTGACTACTTGGCAGAAAACACCAATAAGCAGGAACACACACAGAGGCCATGGCACAACATCACCACAGACAAGTAAAAGCAAGCCCTGGGAATGCAGGCCAGCAGTTGAGCTAATGGGCACCTACCTCCAAGAACACAGAAGGGTGTCATCTTGTTGGGGCTGCAGGATGCCCGTGTGAATCAAGGCCAATGCCCACACGTACCCTGCCAGGCTCTGCTCAAGGAGGGGACAGGGCAGGGTTTGCCCTCTTTACCAATACACAGCAGTCTTGGGCCTGCACCCCAATCTTGCTCATTACTCAGAAGAACAGGACCCCACACCAGCTCCCCAGTGAAGAATGAAGCACATGTCAGCAGCCAGGGTCTGCCTGGCCAGTTGGCTCTGCGAGCTGCTACTTGTGGGCCCCTCCCTGGGGCGCGTGGTGGCCCAGGCAGCGGCAGTTCCTCAGCACCTGCAGCCTGGGGCTCTGCCCTCTATAGCCTTCGTGTTCCTCAGGTCTGATGACTAGACCAGCCCAAACACACGATATCCTGAATGTAATGGGACCCTAACTTTTCAAGAGTTACTTTAAAAAAGTTGTTCCTTCAGTAGGGAAATTAGGAAGGAAGGAAAATTCTCTAAGCACTATGTGCCAGGCCCTGGGCTAGAAGCTTTACAGATATTATATCACAGTAACGTGGATCTGCCTGACCCCCATCTTCAAGAGAGCTAAAGCTCAGGAAGGCGACACATGTAGCCCAAAGCGACGTGGCCAGAGGTGGGACTGGGGCTTTCCCAACTGGGCCCTAGGGGCTGCGTATGCTAGGGCATGGGGTGTGGCTGAGAGACGGCTGGGTCCCCGACAGTGAGCCTGGGAGCAGCCCTGGTGCCAGCCAGCCTGAGCAGCAGGAGCGACCTGCCGCCCCTGTGCTGAAGACTGTGAATTCTCTTTTAAAGAACATCACCTTGCTCCCCAGCTGCCAGCATCCAGGGTTTCGTCTTGGGCCAACACCTTCCCAGGCTCCCTCACTTGTTCCCTCCCTTCCCTTCTCGCTCACACTGTCCTTTCTGCTCCCCTTTGGCCTCATCCGTGGCCTGAACCCGGGACGCCATCCTCGCGTCCTTCCACATCAGACTCCAAGCCTGCCTTTCCCAACTGCAGCAAAAACTCATCATCTCAACACCACTCACCCTGGCCAGGATTCGCCCAGAGCCCATTTCCTCATTTCTAAAACAGACACTAATTCCGACTAGAGAGGGAGGATATGAAGGGAAACCTAATTCTGAATCTATACTGATTAAGGGCACCGATGGTCAGGGTCCAAGAGCCCTTTTTTCCCTGGGATGCACTCATTTCTTTCTTTTTTTTTTTTTTTTTTGAGATGGAGTCTCACTCTGTCGTCCAGGCTGGAGTGCAGTGGCACGATCTCAGCTCACTGCAAGCTCCACGTCCCGGGTTCATGCCATTCTCCTGCCTCAGTCTCCCGAGTAGCTGGGACTACAGGCGCCCACCACCACGCCCGGCTAATTTTTTGTATTTTTAGTATTTTAGTGTTTTAATTTTTTGTATTTTTGTATTGTTAGCCAGGATGGTCTCGATCTCCTGACCTCGTGATCTGCCCGCCTCCCAAAGTGCTGGGATTATAGGCGTTAGCCACTGTGCCCGGCCTGGGATGCACTCATTTCTTTAACACAGACTCACTTGGCACTAGCATAGTTACATGCCCCGCTCTGGGCTAGGCTTTGATGGTGCAAAGACAGACGTGGTCCCTGCCCTAATGGAGCTTACAGTCTAGTGGAGAGACAGGTAGTAAACAAGTAAATGATCTGAAATTGTGGTGATGCTAGGATGGCTGCAAGCGAGGAGGGGGGCAATGGAGACAAGGATTTAGAAAGGGAAAGGCTTCTCTGAGGAAGTAGGATTTAAGCTGAGACCCAGGAGATGGGAGCCTGTTTTCAACATGAAGATGGGGAGCCAAAGTGTTTCCAGCACAAGGAACTGTGTGTGCAGAAGCCCAGAGGAAGGAAGCCTGGTCCCTGAGGAGCTGGAGGCAGCCAGGGGCCTGGAGAGTCACCTGAGACTTCCATAGGGCTCTGGAAGGCAAGGTGAGATGTCTGGGCTTTGTGTGGAAGATGACAAGAATCTCTGACGTAGAGAAGGGACAGGACTGGAGGGAGGCCTAATGAAGATTGCACTTGGCTGCTGAGCAGTGGCAGGGAGGCGGGCACTATAGCAGCCACAATGCCTGGGCTGGGGCTGGTGGGGAAGGAAAGTGGACAGACTCAGGCTCTCCTCTGGAGGTGTAACCCTGGACTGCCTCTGGACCAGTTTGGGGAAAGGGGAACTCTAGAATGTGACATTCATGCATACACACAAATGGACTGTGTGATGTCCAGCTCCAGGGGCAGGGGGGCCACGCCCCGTTCCCTGCCTTGCTCAGCGTCCATCCATGGCTGTTCTGTGCAGGGTACATAGCATCCAGGATGCAGCATTAGCCCTGATCAGGGTTATGCTTCCCATGTGCTGGACCACAGGGCCTGTTAGGGCAAGCTGGGGCCTCCTTGTTTAATTCACGACAGGAGGAAGAGCTGGGTATAGGGACTCCACTGTCAAAAGCCCTGCCAACCAATGACACAAGCCAGCAAGGCAACCCCCTTGGCACAAAGAGACAGTGGGCAACCACGGGCCTGCAGAAGGACTTTTCCCCTCCGCACTCCTGGCGAGGGTCAGGTACCAGATACCTCACAGGCTGGGAGGCAGGGGCGGCATCTTTTAACCCCAAGCCTTGGGTATTTTTTGCTATAAGAGACAGCTGCAGGGTCCAATCTGCTGCCTTGACCCCTCCAACTCCCAAGAGAAACCCACAGCTAGGCATGGCAGATCAACGGGCTGAGAGCCAGTGTGCTGTGCTGGCACTTAGAGACATTTCCCAATGGAATCTCAAAAGGTTGGCACTGCTATTCCTGTTTTTACAGAAGAAACCGAAGTACAGAGACATGGAGTAGTCTGATCTTAGTCACACAGCACCTATCATATCACTCTGTCAGAACATGGCGCACTAGGAGGCAGACACACACGCACATTCGCTGTCTGTTCCCTGCCTTGTCAGGGCACCCAATAATGGTGGCTCTCTGTCCCCAGCATGGGGCCCAAGATGAGTCCTCCTTTAGTCAGAGGTGTGATTCTATCCCCAGTCACCAGGGCTTCTACCACAAATGAAGGACGGTGACCACCCTCAATGTCACTGCTGAACTGGGAAACCAGGAAAAGCTATATGCCTTGTGGGAACAGCACATAAAAAACATTTCAGATGGACAGGACTGGATGCAGTGAGTCCATCCTCTCCCTCCAAGAGCTGAATGGAATGGTTCAACCTCAATGGACCTGAGACGACTCTCTTCAATGGGTGAGGCCACTTCATCACTGTGCTTCAACCCAGAAGGATGAAGCTCATTGTTCTGTTCAAGAGTTGGCCGGGCGCCGTGGCTCACGCCTGTAATCCCGGCACTTTGAGAGGTCAAGGCGGGAAGATCACTTGATGTCAGGAGTTCAAGGCCAGCCTGGGCAACATGGTGAAACCCCATCTCTACAAAAAATACAAAAATTAGCTGGGCGTGGTGGTGCACACCTGTAGTCCCAGCTACTCGGGAGGGCTGAGGCGGGAGAATCGCCTGAACCCCAGAGATGGAGGTTGCAGTGAGCCGAGATCGTGCCCCTGTACTCCAGCCTGGGCGACAAAGTGAGAATCCGTCTCCAAAAAAAAAAAAAAAAAGAGTCAAGGGCCCTGACAGCTAGGAAGGAAGGCCCAAGAATGACTAGAGAGGAACAGATGAACAAAATCCCCAGGAGATTTGTCCACCAGGCCCAGGGCCTGAACTTTCTTTTTCTCAAACACAGATGCAATTCCAGGACAAAAACAAAAAACACTTAAGCTCTTTCCTTAACCAGGTCTTCTAGGACACATTCCAGGAATACGCATCGTGGTCCCCTACAGAACTTGACTCTAACCATCTTGGCCTGTGCTGGCACAGGGGTGACAATGGGAAGGCACAGTGACACCCTCAGGAGCGTAGGGACATGCAGGAGGGCCAACAGAAACAGTCCTTTCAAAACCACGCAATGCAATGGCTGCCTTGTCCTAAGGGCTAATCCCAGGAAAAGGAGCAGGCAGTGCTGCCCAGCAGGTTCTGGAAAACCAGCAGCCACTCGCTGATGGTGGCAATGTACTCCAAGTCCAAGAGGCTTCATTTGCTCATCTGGTTCCTCTGACCCAGGAACACATGGAATGGCTTCCACCCACCTCCCCACTTTGCTCTGATCCCTTCACTGCCAGCCCTACTCCCCGGAAGAGGAAAGAGAAAGGCACCACACTCAACGCTCTATCAAGAAGGCACTCAGCAGCCCCCACTTGACTTCTCAAATGGCGTGGCAGCCGAGGGGCCTTCTCTGGAAATTAGTAGTGGTAACAAGGAGGAGGGCACGTTCCAGAAGGTGGTCAGGCACATGGTGGTGCCGGAAGGGACACGTCTAGCGTAGCTGTGTGAGTCAAACTCCTGAGGTCGACACAGAAGTCCTCCCATTTGAGAGAAATGACCCCTCAATGAATATTTCTGAGACAACTAGTCCTCCTGCCCCATCCTGTAGCAGCAAGTGCCACAAGGTACATTTGGGTTTTCTTTTCTTTACAACCTATTTCCCTTCATGCCTCAGTGACGCAGGGAGGGTGAAGGAGCAGCATGGAGCTCAGAGGCCTGCAGCTTCTAGAGACCCCAAGTCCTATCATCCTGTTTTCACAGATGCCTGCCAAGAGGGCCGTGACCACAATAATCCCACACAAACTCACAGCAAGCACAACTCAATCACAAGAATTTTTTTTCTTTTTTTGAGACAGGGTCTCACTGTGGCCCAGGCTGGAATGTAGCGGCACGATCATGGCTCACTGCAGCCTCAACCTCCAGGTTTGATCAAGTGATCCTCCCAGCTCAGCCTCCTGAGTAGATGGGACTAAAGGCATGTACCACCACGCACGGCTAATTTTTTTTTTTTTTTTTAATGTAGACACAGGGTCTCATTGTTGCCCAGGCTGGTCTTGAACTCCTGGGCTTAGGCGATCCTTCTGCCTCAGCCTCCCAAAGTGCTGGCATTACAGGTATGAGCCACCATGCCCAGCCTCGAGATTTTTAAGAGTAAAATTAAATCAGATGCTAGAGTCTACTAAATCTTTGAGGATTTTTCTTTCCTTTGTACTTCTGCAAAAAGGAATCCTTCATAATACTGGAAAAAAAAGATTTCTAATAACAAAACCCAAGAGTTCTGTTGTTTTCAAAGGAAAACACACCATAAGCTTTACAGAAATGTAGTAAATTAAAAAGAAGAGACCTTTGACTGGAACCCTTTCTGAGACGGGGGAAAGAGCAGGGGCTACTGGCAAGAGATGCCCTGTCCAAGAAAGAGACCTAAAAGCCTGTTGTGTCCACTCACAAGGCCACCCCTGGCCAGCTGTGCCCTGAAGGGCTGCCTTCAGGAACAGTCACCCTGCACCCCATTGGCAGTGGACAGTTTAGAAGCCCCCACTCCTTTCCACAGATAATCTGGGGAGCTAAGTAACCAATGGAAGAACACTGCATCCACCTGGCGTTGTCATCCACAGGATGAAATGCTGGTGGCAGAGCATAGAGCGAGCAGGAGGGCAGAGGCAACGACGCCTGCTGGGAGCCGGGCAGGATGCAGGGAGCCCGGTGGCCCCGACTCACCTGTGCTTGCTGTCCTTTCCATTCCCACGAGCACACTGCCCCCCTCACCCCCGCTCCGACTGCTCTGTGCTGAGGCTGCCTTTCGCGGTCTTGTTCTGCAAGGGGGGGAGAGGGCACGGAAGGGGAGGCTGACACGGGCAAAACCAAGAGGAGACAGACAGGTGGGAGAGGACAGTGCAGAAATCAGGGAGGGCAAAGGGAGGACAGGAGTGGCACATGGAAAAGGAAAGAAAAGGCAGAGTCAGTCCTGACCGACAAACAGGAGACATTCAGACAGGGTTTTCTGAGGCAAAATGTGACCCTTAAAAAGGGGAGTTCTAAAAATAACATGCAAATTAAGTAAAAATAAAGAGAATATAAGATCCTGTGACCACTCCCCGCCCTTCCCCAGAAATAATTTTTAAAGAAAAGCATAAGCAAGCATCTTTCAGGAGCATTTTGAGGGCAGACCTCTCTGGACAACCTCCTTCTAGTACTTTCGGCCCTACTAGATTTAAGACTGCGAGTGACCAGTGACCACCAGGTGTCAGTGTGACCTCAGCCAGAGACACAGTGCAGCCCCTGCAGGAAACATCAGGTGGCAGTGGTCTCCGTTCTGATCCTTTCTTGGGGCTCCTTCTCCATATACACCCTCCCCACACACATATGTGGTATCCACAAACAGACCATTCACCCCTTACCTCCCACCCTTTCCTAAAGGAAGCGACCACGAGACCACCTCCTAAATAAACTGGGAAGTGGAGCCCGAGACAGCCCATCCACTGTGCATCAGGCTGCTTCTGCAGAAGCACAACCTGGAAGAGACTGAGCTTCCCCAGAGCCTTGTGGTCAGCTCGACTTCTAGTCTGGGAAGATGCCTTTGCACAGGCCTCAAGGCCTAGAACCAGACTTACCAAACGCCAACCTGTGAATTGGGGTTCTATTCACCTCAAGTGGAAATCAGTGGCTTGATCGAGTTAGATATTCTCACCTCTCTTAATGAACAGACAAACACCCCCTCTCCCAAAACACATTTCTCCTGGGATCCTCATAATACTCCGAGTGCTGGCCCCCATGCCACGGGTCTCCCTTCAGCATCATGCCCCTCCACCCTCCCAGGGCCAGGAGGGGACTAACAGCCGGAGGCACAGGTGGGGACAGGTGTGGGTGAGGCCCACCAACACCTGGTCTTCAGGTCTTTCAGGAGGAGCCACCCTCGATCCCATCCCTGCTGGTAGCTCTTGGGGCCTCTGACTCACCTTGTGCTTAGGGCACCTCACCGAGAAGTTCTCCTCATGTAGCAAACAATCTGGAAGACAGAAGGGGACAGTCAGATGGAGACTTCACAGCTGGACATAGGTGTGGTCATGCTGGCTGGGATTGACAGGGTCAGACATAAAGGTAGCAGGTCGCTACACTTACTTCTAATAGGAAAACATTAGAGACAACCCAAGTAAGCTATGATACCTTAACATGATGGATATCGGTCACTTAAAAATTAACATTTTAAAAGAGTTAATGGTATGGAAAACACCCATGAAACAAAACTGCTTGAAAAAACCAGGATGTACAAATGTATAAATGTGCTAATTTTATTAAAATGTTTCTACGCATTAAAAAAAGACTTGGGGCTGGGTACCATGGCTCACACCTGTAATCCCAGCACTTTGGGAGGCCGAGGCAGAAAGATCACTTGAATCCAAGAGTCAAGACCAGCTTGGGCAACACAGTGAGATCCTGTCACTATTAAAAAAAAAAAAAAATACTGAAAGGCTGGGTGTGATGGCACTTGCCTATAGTCCCAGCTACTTGGGAGGCTGAGGTGAGAAGACTGCTTGAGCCCAGGAGTTCAGACTGCAGTAAGCTACTATCACATCACTGCACTATAGCCTAGGCAAGCAAAACTGTCTTAAAAAAAAAAAAAACTACTTGGGAGGCTGAGGCAGGAGAATCACTTGAACCAGAGAGTCGGAGGTTGCAGTGAGCCGAGATCACACCACTGCACTCCAGCCTGGTGACAGAGCGAGACTCCGTCTCAAAAAAAAAAAAAAAAAAAAAAAAAAAAAAAAGACTGAAAGGAAATCTATGAATATGTAACAATAATTCTCTTTGGGTAAGAAGATACAGCTGATTTAAATTTTATCTTTTCTATATTCCCACGATATCACCAATAAATGCTATTTTAAAAATCCTTGATTCTAGGCTAACCCCATTTCTCAGGCTCAAGCCAAAGCCTCCTTGTAAAAACACTTTAAAATCTAGACGCGTATTTTCTTCTCTGTACAGAGAATGCCCAGGTGTCTGAGACAGAAAGGTGGCCAGGCCCAAGAGCCCCACTGTCACCTTTGCCCCACGACCCACGGAGACACAGAAGCCTCCAACACAAATCACATAATCCACACTAAATGCTTCAGAGGAAGGTAAAATCCCATGAGGATGCTTTTAATCCTTGGAGGAAAAATGATTCATTCCAACTTGTAACATGATGACAGCATCCTGGATGGCAGCAAGGACACATCTGCCTCCAGGTGAGCTGAGCTCTCACACAAGGGTAGTGCATGGATCAGGGCAAGGAAATCTAATTAATGAGTTCACTCTGCACACCACAGCTCCTGGAGACCGACAGCCAGGTCACTGGTGCAAAACGCGGTGGCAGAATGTTAATAAATATTGATAACACATTCTCAGAGAGCTCCCAGGCACCATGGCAGGAGGCAGCCACGGTACTTATCCTTGTTAAATTTAAACTGAGATCCAGACTAGCAGCCTGTGCACCCACAGATTTCAAGTGCAATAGTAATAAGCAATGAACATACACATGAAAACTTTTCAGGTCCCGGTATCCTAAAACAAATCAAGAAGACCCTTTTATATTTGGCCAGACCTGGAACATCATAGCCTGTCTTTCGTTGGAGCCCATGAGTATCTAAGAGAGTGGGCGGCAGCCTTCTTGGCTCCGTGGGCCCAAGAGCTCAGCAACTTACTACTAACCTCCAAGCCCCTCCCCCAGCAAGCAACTAGCAAGGCAATAAATGAAATGTGTTAATTTAAAACCCACAAGTACATAGTGTGACCAAGACTCCCGCTGCTCCAATCTGCCAGAGAGTTTATAAACAGCAGGAGCCAGACAACTGGAGCTCAGGGGATATGCTCTCTTCTTACCTGGGCTCTGGCAGCAAGCACTATGCTGGCTTAGTCTCTAGTTTGGGCCAAACAGAAACAGTACAGCACACGTGGGGCTGGGCCACGCTTACGCCACAGGGGTTTATACCAGTGAGGACAGGGACCACACGAGCAGCAAAGGGTGCCATCAGAAAGGCGCAGGTGGCTCAGTTCCCTCACGGCCACAGAACAGTGACCAGCTGTGATGGACCATTAATAAAACACGCCTCATGTTAGGAAATGCGTTCCCTCTGAGTTAGAAGCAGAAAAGAGTAAGACACTATGAATGCACGCTAACGACAACTTGAAACTAATGCCAGATACATCTGGAAATGAAGTCTCCTACAGCAATCTGCCTGAGGCAGTGTCCATCTCTGACAAGGCCTCCCATGCAGGAACACTGTGCAGACAATGCCCTCCTCTGTTCTCATACATGTCCACAGGCCGTCAGGAAGCACAATTCACGTTCCTGGCAGGGGCCAGAACCACAGCTAGAGAGCTCAGAAACCTGGAGGGCACAGGGGAGCTTCTCCTCTTACCAGTCCCTGCTGGGAGGGAAGAGTGAAGAGCAGTAGGTGTAGTAAAACCTCTTCTGAGGACTCTGAACAGGCAACTGCACCTACATGGCCAGCCAGTCAAGGTCTCTCAATCTGTGTTCTTCAAGGCCCAGGCACCATCCTACACTGTCCAGAGGGCGCAGTCAGCACTTCTGCATAGTGAAGTCAAAGTAAACAGCTTGCGAGATCATCATCCAAGCTCAAAAAGACCTACAAGGTGGCCTAGTCAACAAGATGGCTTGCAGACACAAACATCAACCCCCAGAAGAGAAGGCCACTTTCATTTCCCTCTTCAAGCTCAAAGGCAGAATGGATTTACTAAGCTCCTCATTATAAGCTCTGTGAAGCTTCAGATACCCACATGCATCCACATGCTCCCAGGCTGAGGATGGTGGGCTCAAGGAGGGAGGTAGGAAAAACAAGAAGGGTTTAATGTCCTTTGGATCTGTTGTGTAGCAGACACAGACTCCAATTCACCTACACTCTACCCCAGTACTACTGTTATTCCTTATGTTGGCACACTGCAGGGCTTGGGACACAGGGGCCTGCCAGCCCCACCCTGCCTTGCCGAAGGGTAGGCTCAGGCTCCTGGGCCATAAGGAGGGAAATATGGGGCTCTTGGCACTGGGACTGGCTCCTGTGAGGCAGACGGCTGTCCCCCGGGGAGGAGTCAGACTACTGGCATTTCCTAATGACCCATCCAGGGCTCTGACGGCACCAGCAAGATCAAAGTCTGCAGCAGAGATAGCAGCTTTAAAATGCTACTGCAACGAGAGCTGCAGAAAGTAGAATTCCCAGCTGTTTTTTCATGAGAGTAGAAGAAAAAAAAAAACCCTCCACACAAGGTTCTTTACGCACAGTGGAATTATTAATGAGCTACCACAGCCTTTTTTTCTCGTCTTAATTGTTGTGGCTCATTGCATTAAATACATTAATTTAAAAAAAAAAAAAAAACAGAGCTCATGCTCTTATTACTGTAACCCCCCCAACCTGGAGCCAAATCCTGTGCCTATGACATAACAAGCAACACAAAACAGCTGACCATGATGTCAGAAATGCAGGGTCAACATCAGGTGGGGGGGAAGGTGGCAGGAGTCACAGATCATGAAACAAAGATTCTGTTTCTATGGAGATGTCCCAGTAATAAAAGTCTTCCCTGAGACATCAACAGCTCTTTAAAGATCTGGGTGGGTTGACAGCAAGGCAGAGATGAAAATGTTAAACTGCTCTTTACTCCATAAGGGAGGTTAGGGATTCTCAAACCAAGGACTTATTTTTGTTATGATTAGAAAGAAAAGTCCATCAATAAACTTGTTTCCTGGATACAAAGTTACATCATACACAGAGAGCAATTTCCAAGAAGACTGTGTGGAATAATACAAGCGTCCATCCCCACAGAGCAGTGCAGGCCTCTGGGTCACTGTGACTTGGGTCATCAAAAAGACCGCAATGACCAAGACATGGTCATCTTGTGAAACTGCCTCTGGGTCCCAGGTCTCCACATGAAGGAGCAAAGTGCACAGCAGCAGAGGCAGCAAAGCCAGAGGCCGACAGCCCTATCCTCACTCCTCCCAACCCAGACCCCTCTGTCTTGCTGGACACGCGGCCACCAACTTCTGTTAAATAGAGATGCTACCAGCTTAACTAGGCAGGCTACCAAGATGGGCCCCAAAACAGAAAATGACAGATACCATTTACTCACAAGTCCTCAGCTAATAATGAGGGTCCTGCGCTTCTCTGCTGGTGGGCTGGGGTGACAACCTGGGCACAAGCTTCCACTAGAGGAGAGGATGTTCCAGTGCTCTATGGCCCCTTCCAAAAAATCCCAACCATATTGCCTGAACTTGGGTTGAGGAGGGTAGCTCTAAGCCTGTGCTGTTCAGCCACTAGCCATACATGGCCACTTAAGTTTACATTAAAAAAAAAAATTCATTTCCTCAGTCCCACTAGCACTCAATGATCACATCTGGTTTGTGGTTACCACATTGGAGAGTGCTGAGCTAGAGCGTTTCCATCATTGCAGTATGTTAGGCTGAGCTTTGCTGCTTGACATCTTAGAAGCTGGACCAGAAGGCAGGCTATCAGCAGAACGGGGGCAGCCTCCAGGGGGGCCCTTGCTGAAGTGTGCTCGGGTGGGATGTGGCACCGGCCTGTCAGCACACCCTAATGTGTCCCTGAACACAGCCTCAGTGGGGGACCACTTCTTACCCAGCTGCGAACTGGGAGAGCCAAAACTCACAGTATTCCCAATATAAAACTAACAATCAACCATAAAAAAACTTAATACTTAAAAATCCTCATATATAGCTGGGCATAATGGTACATGCCTGTATTCCCAGCTAGTTGGGAGGATCGCTTGAGCCTAAGAGTTTGAGTCCAGCCTGGGCAACACAGTGAGACCCTGTCTCAAAAAAAAATTTTTTTTTTTTCACTTAAAAGCCATTTTCTTGGCCAGGCGCGGTGGCTCACGCCTGTAATCCCAGCACTTTGGGGGGCCAAGGTGGGCAGATCACAAGGTCAGGAGATCGAGACCATCCTGGCTAACACGGTGAAACCCCGTCTCTACTAAAAACAGAAAAAATTAGCCGGGCGTGGCGGCGGGCGCCTGTAGTCCCAGCTGCTGGGGCGGCTGAGGCAGGAGAATGGCGTGAACCCGGGAGGCGGAGCTTGCAGTGAGCCGAGATCGCGCCACTGCACTCCAGTCGGGGCAACACAGCAAGACTCTGTCTCAAAAAACAAAAAAAAAAAGCCATTTTTTTCAACTAGAAACAAAACTTTATATTACTGCTCCCCCTCTTTCCTGGCCACTAGACTACAGGGAAGAAAACACAATATTACGATGTAACTAGAGGTAATGAAAATGAGAAAAGGCAACTGGTTGGCTCTTTTAAAAACTTATTTTTATTTGAACAGACCTGTTCTTGCTATGTTATCCAGGCTGAACTTGAACTCCTGGCCTCAAGTGATCCTCTAGCCTCAGCCTCCCGAGTACCTGAGATTACAGGTGTGAACCACCATACCTAGTTAACTGGTTAGCTCTCTTTCTTTTTCTTTTGAGACAGAGTCTCGCTCTGTTGCCAGGCTGGAGTGCAGTGGCGTGATCTCAGCTCACTGCAACCTCCACCTCCCGGGTTCAAGCGATTCCCCTACCTCAGCCTCCCAAGTAGCTGGGACTACAGGCACGCGCCACCACACCTGGCTAATTTTTCATATTTTAGTAGTGACAGGGTTTCACCATGTTGGCCAGGCTGGTCTCAATCTCCTGACCTTGTGATCCGCCCACTTCGGCCTCCCAAAGTGATGGGATTACAGGTGTGAGCCACCGTGCCTGGCCCAACTGGTTAGCTCTTGAAAGAGAAGGATTTAACAGCTGTACTACAGAATATGGCAGACCATGACCCAGGGTAAATTACACCTTAGACTCAACATGAAAACATTTGGAGGAAAAAAGAGAACAGAAGGGATGGACTAAAACCCAAACTCCCTGAACTGACATTTCAAGGCTACTTCATTTTTGTTTTGAGATAGGGTCTCACTCTGTTGCCCAGGCTGGAGTGCAGTGGCCCAACTGAGGGTCATGCAGCCCCTCCTGGGTCTTTCCATCTCAGCCTCCCTGGGTAGCTGGGACTACAGACAAGGGCCACCACGCCTGGCTAATTTTTTGTATTTTTTGTAGAGACAGGGTTTCACCATGTTGGCCAGGCTGGTCTCGAACTCCTGGGCTCAAGCAATCCTCCCACCTCAGCCTCCGAAAGTGCTGGGATTACAGGTGTGAGCCACCACACCTGGCACTCTGTTTCTGATTCCCTATCTTTCCGTTGATCAAATAGTGCCTTGGCCATCAAGCTGCCTTTCAGTCCACATGTACGTGTGAATACACACACTTTTGTAATAGTCTAACTGGCATCAGCATTATCTTCTCTACCTCTCTTGTTCTTTTTAACTGTTTCTCCTACAGAAGCTTGGAGAGAAAAGAGGGAAGGGGGAGGTAAGGGCAAGAAGGATGTGAAAGGAATGGAGACATATGCTTAAACAAAAGTCAGGAGCTGCAAACAACTGCTGCGCTGGAAGGAAGGGGGGGCAGGATGAATTCTGAGACCTGATCCAAGTCTGTTGGCCCTGCTCTGTGTATGTTATGCCTCACGCCTGTTCCCATCATGCAGTCAGCCACGCCCTCTTCCCCTTCCCATCAAATTCAAATCAAACCCCGCCTCCTATGGACAGCGTGGCTGCCTTCGTGGACAGCCCTGCTTCTCTCCTGGGGAAGCACAGAGAGGGGGCATGCACATGACAAGCACCATGCTACTTGCTGCCTTCTCTCACCACTTTTCCTCAAACGTGACCACAGGCATTATGGGGGCTGCCTGGGTGATGGTCTTAGATACATCTAATGCTCAAGTAACTAGAGGACATTATGTCAAGTGAAATAAGCCAGGCACGGAAAGTTAAAAGCTGCATGTTCTCGCTCATGTGGAAATTTAAAAAGCTGATCTTACGGAAGTATTAAAAAGTAGAACAGAGGATACTAGAGGCCAGGAAGGGGAAAGGAAAGGAAGAGATAAGTAGAGATTTGTTAAAGAATACAAAATTACATCTAGATGGGAGAAATAAGTTCTAGTATTCTGTATCACTGTAGGATAACCACAGTTAACAACATTATATTGTATAGTTTCAAATGACTAGAAGATACCAAATGTTCCCAACACAGACATGTTGTTTGAGACGATGGATTTGCTAATTACCTAGGTCTGATCATTTTATATATATATTGAAACATTACTGAGCACCCCATATCTACAATTACTGTCCATTAAAAAAAGTAAAAAACGCTGGGCGCGGTGGCTCACGTCTGTAATCCCAGCACTTTGGGAGGCTGAGGTGGGTGGATCACCTGAGGTCGGGAGTTTGAAACCAGCCTGGCCAACATGGCAAAACCCCGTCTCTACTAAAAATACAAAAATTAGCCGGGCATGGTGGTGGGCGCCTGTAGTCCCAGCTACTCGGGAGGCTGTGGCAGGAGAATCACTTGAATCTGGGAGGCAGAGGTTGCAGTGGGCTGAGATCATGCCATTGTACTTTAGCCTGGGCGATAAGAGCGAAACTTCGTCTCAAAAAGAAAAGTAAAAAACTTAATAAACTTGAAATTAACACCCACCTTGCCGCCAAAAAAGTAACTGGGGAAAACACCCACTGAAGGGACTAAAAGTCTAGAGTAAGAAAGGTGATTTTCCCAGGTTATCGAAGCTCTGAGTCAAAACTCAAGTCTTCTGCGTCACTCATTGGATGGCACTTCTTTAACAAAATGTTTCCCTTCTTTCAACAGTTAACACACTGCAAAACATCCCCCTATCATCTCAGCAAAGAAAATACAACACTCTATTGTATGTATACAACGTACTGTGATTTAGAGTAAGAAATACATATTTTAGTCTTCATCCCTGATTCCTGGCACAGACCTCCTAAAACCCGTGTAAATTCCTGAGCAATTAGGGGTGCTAGGAGCATCTTTTCTTCTAATATTTGGTTTTTGATCCTGGTTCCTGACATGGAGCTCCTAAACCCTTGGAATTTCCTGGATAGGAGCACTTTTTGTTCTAAGGCTACTCTTGGTGGTTCCTGGATGGGGGCTGGGCACCAGAGAGACGAAGCTGTGATTAGCAGCTTGGAACTGTTAGCTCTACCCACCCCACTCCAGGAAGGACAGAGGGGGTGAAGATTGAGTTAATAATTGATTATGCCTACATGATGAAGCCTCCAAAAAATCCGTGAACTACTGGATTCAGAGGGCTTCTGGACTGCTGAGTAGATGAAGGTGCCTCAGGGGTGGTGCCCCTGGAGAGAGCATGGACGCTCCATGCCCCTGCCCACACATCTGGCCCTATGTTTCTTTCATGTGGCTGTTCATCTGCATCCTTTATAATGGGTAAACACAAGTGAAGTGTTTCCGTGAATTCTGTGAGCCATGTTAAACATTAATCAAACCCAAGGAAGCGGTCTTGGGAACCCCAGTTTATAGTTGATCACTCAGAAACACAGGTCATAACACAGGGCTTGAGATTGGTATATGAAGTGGGGAGCGGTCTTGTGGGACTGAGCCCTTAACCTGTAGGGGCTGCACTAACTCTGCTTAGTATCAGAACCAAGCTAAACTATAGGACACCCAGTTGGTGTCCAATGGTGAATTACCTGTGTGATGCTATCAAGAAAAGAAAGTAAAAAGACAACTCAGAGAATGGAAGAAAACATTTGCAAACCACATATCCAGAATTACAAATAATTCTTTTTTTTTTTTTTTTTTTTTTTGAGACAGAGTCTCACTCTGTTGCCCAGGCTGGAGTGCAGTGGCGTGATCTCGCAACCTCTGCCTCCCGGGTTCAAGTGATTCTCCTGCCTCAGACTCCCGAGTAGCTGGGACTATAGGTGCGCGTCACATCTGGCTAATTTTTGTAGTTTTAGTAGAGACGGGGTTTCACTATTTTAGCCAGGCTGGTCTTGAACTCCTGACCCCATGATCCACCCGCCCGGCCTACAAATAATTCTTAAAACTTGACATTAAAAAGATAAACAACCCAATTTTACAATGGGCAAAGGATGTGAATAGCTATTTCTCCAAAGAAGATGTACAAATGGCCAATAGGCACAAGAAAAAAATGCTCGACATTAGCCATCAGGGAAATACAAATAAAAACCACAATGAAATAACATTTCATACCCACTGGGCTGGCTACAATTAAAAAAAAAAAAAAAAAGAAACACATATGACAGCAAGTGTCAGGGAGGACCTGGGGAAAGGAGAACACTCATGCACTGCCACTGAGAACGTAAAATGGGGCAGCCATTTTGGAAAACAGTCTGACAGTTCCTTAAAAGGTTAAACAGAGTTACCATATGATCCAGCAATTCTACTCCCAGGTACACATCCAAGAGAACTGAAAACATGTTCACACAAATGCTTGCATGTGAATGTTCTATAGCAGCATTATTCATAACAGTCAAAAAGTGGAAGTAACCCAAATGTACAGCAAAGCCCACAGAGATAGAAAGGATTGAGTCCAACAGAGCTTAAAGGGAAAAAAAAATCATAAAAATTTAAAAAAGAAAACAGAATAGTGGTTGCCAGGGACTGGAGGGAAGGGAAGGGAGATGAGTGCTGCTAATGGGTGGGAAGTTTTTTTATGAAGTGACAAAAAAAAAAAAAAAAAAAAAGAAAAGAAAAGAAAAAAAACAACGACAACAGAGAGAATCAAACTGTATGTCCTAATCCTTTGGATGCTCTGGACAAGGGTCTGTGGTCTCCTCTTACCTGCATCAATGGCACACGGGTAATGGTATCGGAAGGAGCAGCCTTTGTTGTAGCAGCCCAAGGTGGCGCCTGCCTCCTGGCAGTGGGAACATTTCTGAAAGGAAGGGAAAAGTCAGGCATGTCAGTATCCCAGATTTGGCCCTCTCCTCCAGGCCTTCCCTGGTCCCCATCTGTTAGACCTCAGCACGTGTCTCTGTGGTTAGAGGAGTCCGTGGTGGCAGGATGAGCTGGTCAATTTCTAAATGCCATTCACTGACCACACCATGGGAAGGGATCCAGCAATAATGTTTTAGACCAAGCCTCACAAATGTTCTCAAATCAACAATACAGCAGGGTGAGATGAGCAATCCATGTCATAAAGGACATGCCAGAGTGGGGTCCCCAGCCCTGCCTCTGGTACCCCCGCCATCCACCCACCCACACACTATGCCAGGCATTTCCTTGCTGCTATCGTGAGCGGCCTGCAGATCTTCCCTGTTTACTTCTGCTGTGAAAATCTGGGGTAAGAGAGGGTAAGGTAGTAGAGTTATATATAAACCTTTTAGAATTAGAAGTGGAATTTGGTTTCTAGTTCTTGTATTTGTAAGAAGATTTTATTTTTATTTTTGATCTACTTACCCCAAATGCCCAATACATTTCCCTTTTCAGAAAATATGGGCTCCTGTGTGCAAATGGTATTTTTATACATGAATCTTATTTTAAATGCACCAGAAAACCTGCCATGAATTTCTGGCTAAGTGAGACATTATTTTGTAATTGAGACACTCCTCCTTATATGGTCAGGTTTTCTTAAAGTGGGGCACATCTCTGTCAGCCCTGTGATGTGGCTGCTGTGAGTGCTCATCCTGTCAGGTAAGAAATGTGTCCTATCAGCA
This sequence comes from Homo sapiens, assembly GCF_000001405.40. Classification (NCBI taxonomy): domain Eukaryota; kingdom Metazoa; phylum Chordata; class Mammalia; order Primates; family Hominidae; genus Homo; species Homo sapiens. The sequence goes on from NW_009646208.1 coordinate 79,753, forward strand.
ACAAACACATTCATAAAACTCAACCACATGTGACCCTACTAAGGATGCTGGCTCTTCAGATAGCAGAGGCACACAACCAGCAAGACTAGCTGGAAGAGACAGAAACTTGTTCCTGCTTCTATGAAAAATAAAAGTGTTCCCTAAGCAATTACACTGAGCTGGCTCAGGCCCCCGACACAGATACTGATGGAAAACTACACTAACGCCAGCAACAGCAAAGCCCAAGCGCTCGCCACGCTCAGACTGAATGATCTCATCCAGCCCTCTGCACTATTCCACCTGGCAGGCACTCCTAATGCTTCACGTGAAACTCTTGAGACACCAAAGGGAAAATAACTTGTTCCAGGTCAGAGCTGAGATTCTGGATGATCATCTCTGGCATCCTCCAGAGACAAAAGAGGTAGGAACAAGGGCTGGAAGAGATTAGTCCTTCAAAAGCTTTGCCCTGCTCTCAGAAGATCAAGGTCCTTCTGGGTGCCCATAATCAGTAAATGTTTATCATGTGCCCTCGCACCCTTGTTAAGAGAGAAAAGATCATTTGGTCTGGAGTAAACCAAGGACAAGTTCACAGCATTTCTAGTAGCCCTAGACTCTGTCGACCTTTGTCAGTGCCACAGAGCATCTCAGAATCAAAAGGACTATCAACTTCAGAGAAGGGAGTGTGGGTAGTCCATCGGTGGCCAACCTGCAGCCATGTCTGCTGCCACTTTCTTTTTTTGAGATGGAGTCTTGCTTTGTCGCCCAGGCTGGAGTGCAGTAGCGCAATCTTGGCTCACTGCAACCTCTGCCTCCCAGTTTCAAGCCATTCTCCTGCCTCAGCCTCCTGAGTAGCTGGGATTACAGGCGTATGCCACCACGCCAGGCTAATTTTTGTATTTTTAGTAGAGATGGGGTTTTGCATATTGGCCAAGCTGGTCTCAAACTCCTGACCTCATCGCATCTGGCCTCCTGCTGCCACTTTCTTACTCAAGAGGCCCGAAGATATGGCCCTCCCTACCCTGGGGGATGAATCACAGTGAGTGGTGGCCATTTAGGAATGGGTATGGTCAAGCATTTCTGGTAGGAAAGTCTGCAGGAAAAAGGGCTTCTGAAAACATTTTGCACTCCCCCCAACCTTTTTTTTTTTTTTTTTAATATATTTTGAGACGATGTCTTGCTCTGTCACCCAGGATGGAGTGCAGTGGCACAATCATGGCTCACTGCAGTCTCTACCTCCCAGGCTCAGGTGATTCTCCTGACCTCAGCCTCCCGAGTAGCTGAGACTACAGGGTGTGTGCTACCACATCCAGCTTTTTCAAAAAATGTTTTTGTAGAGACAGGGTCTCACTATGTTGCCCAGGCTGTCCTTGAACTCCTGGGCTCAAGCAATTCTCCCATCTCAGCCTCCAAAAGTGCTAAGATTACAAGCATGAAAGTTTCACCCTCTCAAAAAGAGACAAGAGGGAGGAACAGGTAATTTTTCTTGCGCAGCCTCTGTGAGGATTAGACAGTGGGATCTGTGGCAGCCACAGTATCACCATGAGGGGACAGCCCTGAAGACAAAGCCAGCCTGCTGAGGACAGAAGAGTGGCAAGATGGAGAGACCTGGGCCTACCATGACACTGTCAAGCACTAAATCACCCAAACCCAGGACCAGGCCACCTCTAGCCTTGTTACAGGAAACTTGGGTGCTGCTGTAGAAGGGTTAAGTATGCATGCTCTGGAACCTAAATAACTGCCTGGTAAGTGGCTCCACTTTCTAGCTCTGCCTTCTTGGCCAAACTCCTAACCTCTGTTCCTCAACCTACAGACGTGGGACTAATAATAGCACTCACCTCATAGAAATGTCATAAGGGTTAAATGAATTAATTCAGGCTTAAAACAGTGGCTGGGTCAAAAGTGCTAAGTAAATGTGACCCAAGATGACCATGTGTCAGACATATGCTAGATAATCTACAAAGACCATCTCATGAAAAGCAACCACACAGCAGGCCTCATCACCATCCCGGTTTACAAGAGGAAAGAGAAGACGTGGAGCTTAGATCTGAACAATGTCCATTTGCTTCCTACCTCAACTCCACAACCTGGCAAGCAGTGTGCAAACTCCACTATGATTAATTTATAACATTGCATCCAAAGGGGAAAGACTCTCAGGCTGTATTAGGGACTTAGAGAAAGATCCTTAAAGACAGTTTAGTTCAGTGGTTTTTGAAGTGTGGTCCCCTGGAACAGCAGCATCAGCAACACTCAGGGACTTGTCAGAAATGCAGTTTTGTTTTTTGGGTTATTTTTGAGACAGAGTCTCGTTCTGTCACCCAGGCTAGAGTGCAGTGGCACAGTCTTGGCTCACTGCAACCTCCGACTCCCATGTTCAAGTGATTCTCGTGCCTCAGCTTCCCAAGTAGCTAGGATTACAGGCATGAACCACCACACCTGGCAACTTTTTGTTTTTTTACTAGAGACGGGGTTTCAACATGTTGGCCAGGCTGGTCTTGAACTTCTGACCTCAAGTGATCCACCTGCCTTGGCTTCCCAAAGTGCTGGGATTACAGGCGTGAGCCACTGTGCTTGGCAGAAATGCACGCTTTTGAGCCCCACCTAAATCTGTGTTGTGAGAAGTCCTCCAGGCTATTCTGATGTACAATGCAGTTTGAGGACCACTGGTCTAATTCAACTCCCCAACTTTTCAGATGCGGAAAAAAGAAACCCAGAGAGACACAATGACTGGGTGAGCTAGGATTACTGGATTACTGGTTTCCTGAGAGCCATTCAGTGTTCTGTCTCCTACAGAGCAATCAGATCTTGGGATATGGTAGGCAGAATCCCAAGAACCTGTGATCTTATATATACAAAATCAACTTTGTGGATGAGATTAAGTCAAGGACCTTGAGATGGGAAGAATATGCTAGGTTATCCAGGTGGGCCCAATCTAATCACACAGGCCCATAAAAGCAAACGATTCCCCCCCAGAGGGAGTTACAGTTGTCAGCTTCAGGGAGACCTGATGATTTGCCAGCAGGGTCATAGGTGCAATGCTGCTGGCCTGGAAGATGGGAGAAGGGACAGGGCGGCAGCTGCAGAATTTTTAAAAGGCAAGGAAGCATGTTCTCCCCTAAGACTCTGGACTTTTCCAAAGCCCAGCCCACACCTCAATTCCAGCCCAGTAAGACACCTGTGTTGGACTTTGAACCTACAGAACTGTAAGCAGAACTGTATTAACAAGTTTGTGGTAAGGTGTTATGACAATGATAGAAAACTAATACACGGGGATTTCCCAAGACTCTCAAGTGATTGTTCATTTTCCTTTTAGGTTCTTTTTTTTTTTTTTTGATGGAGTTTCGCTCTTGTCGCTCTGGAGTGCAATGGCATGATCTCGGCTCACCGCAACCTCCACCTCCCGGGTTCAAGCGATTCCCCTGCCTCAGCCTCCCGAGTAGATGGGATTACAGGCACCTGCCACCACGCCCAGCTAATCTTTGTATTTTTAGTAGAGATGAGGTTTCACCATGTTGGCCAGGCTAGTCTTGAACTCCTGATCTCAGGTGATCTGCCCACCTCAGCCTCTCAAAGTGCTGGGATTACAGGCATCAGCCACCGCACCTGGCCTTAGGTTCTTTAATGCAACAGATTTCTCCCTCAATTTGCCTAGTGAAACCTACAATTTCACTAGGCAAATTGTGACATCAGGAGATCAATAAAGAAGGAACTCTGGGTCTGTCTTCGACATCTGTTTTTCTTGTAGAAGAAACAAGAGGCTAAAGCAAAGTGACCTGCTAAAGATCACATAGCTAGTAAGAGAACTTAGAACTTTACCTCTTTTTCTTCTGAACCCCAAGTTCAACTTTCTTCATACCATACCATGACGCCTGTTAGCCCCCTTCATTCACTCAACTATCCAACATTTGAAAAGTACTTTCTAGGTGCCAGGTGCCAAAGATAGAATATAAATACTTATCTATAGTATCTTCCATGTGTAAGGTTTTCCCTTCTACCCAAAAATCAATACCCAGGCCAGTACAATTTCTAATTAAATTTTTATTCTATACTTTTTACCTGGAGTAGCTATTTGCATTATCATCCTCCTATGCTACAAATAATATATTAAAGTCACTGCACAGCTAAATGTCCTTTGTTTTTGACCACAGTGTTACTACATTCACTCCAAGCAGAGGTAAGTCCATACAATACTGCTCCCCAGGAAGAATGAGACACATTGGGGGCTCCAAGCATGATTTCTAAATTAAGACACATTTTAAAAATAAGGAATGGCCCAAACTTCAAAATCTTTTAATAGTAAATTTTTTATTATGGAAGGGAATAAAAACTATTTTTAAAGAACTCTAATAAGAACCTCACATTTTTTGATACTCTAAACTTGGGAAATAAATTATAAAAGGTATTATTAGTTTTGGGACATGTTTTAACGGAAAGTGGCCCAGATACAGAGCTTGAACCTTTCACCAGACTTTGTCACTGTCTCAGAGGCAGGGCTCGCTGACTTGAGGTAGCAAACTGCAAGGACTGAGTCAACTAGCGTTGTTTAATCCTTATCTGAGGGAAGCTTTAAGGGAGCCTTCTCCAAGCCTGATGCCTGCTCATTCACAGAAAGGCTCTTTCTTATGAGATATAACAGCAACCTGAATCATCATCCTGTTTAATTAGCATCTCAGAGCAGCCTCAGAACACCAAAGCAACTGGGTCACAGTAGTATTATAGCACACTGATGACAACTGGTTTTGTTCAAGCCTTGCAGATTACCCTCCACTACTGTGCCTAAGACGGCTCTTATCCAGCATGGCACACACTTCTGCTCATGCTCACAATATTTACTTACTCATGTTTGTCCATCTCCCCTAAACTGTGAGACTTGTTCTTGCACCCCCCAAGGACTGGCACACCATAGGCACTGTAAATGTGGGCTGATGGAATGAATGCAATGTCTGACAAACTTGAGAGCCTGAAGACAACTAATGAGGATACTCTTCAATGAGTTACAAAACTGATGCTGGTGGAGCTTGGAGAATGTGGAACAAGGTATGTGTTCATTTTTGGCCACCAGCAAAAAGTTTTTTGTCCTTTTAATTATGCCTCCTACATCTAGGATGGAAGCCGCTGTCCTCCCAGCTATCAATGCCAACTACGTGGCAGCTAGATGGGCTACATACAAGGAGCTACCCTTCAAGGCCCTGTGAGCATTTCTTTGATGCAACTCTGCATCCTATCAAGCTTCTTAAAGACTACTTCAAAGTGTTAGCCAAAGCAATACATACATAGCCCTAGGTGTTTTGGTCCTTACTTCCTTAGAGCTAGACGATCTCCTTACGTTTCTTCATGAAAAGCTCATGAGACTGGCTGGAGAACCTTTAACTTGCCATTAACACAAAGACTGAGGGAATGGGCTCTGGCACCAGCCTCTGGGACCTGCACCACGGCCCAGTACCACCAAGGCTTCCCAGTCAACCTCAGAGGGACAGAGACTTGTCCAGTTCTTCTCAGGTCCATTTACTCAGTGCTACTCAAGTTATGGTACATGGATTTAGAATCTGCACTTATGTCCTACAGCTGCTCCGGCAAAAGTGCCAGTTTCAGAAACTGAATCCATTAAATACACACTTAATCAATTATGATGTCAGTATGAAACATCAGCCAGCCACTCACTGGCTAAGGGCTAATTGTGTGTACTTAAGACAAAAGTTCCAGGCTTGACTAGCTTTTTAGAATAAATGTGGTTGGTCTAATGTGCATACTGTCCAGGTATGATGCAGCACAGGGCTACTGGAGAAAAAAACTGAGGGTGTCAGCACACGTGTGAAAGCCAAAAGTCACCAGGTCAATTTTATCATCTGTAAAATGGGGATAACAGTATTTGCTTTGCCTTCTGCCTAAAGCTGCTGTGTAAAATAACCATAAAAGTGTTTTACAAACTAGAAAGTTATGTAATTATTAGAACTTTTAAATAAAAATTACATAAAACATACATTCATCTCTGTCATACTTTGGCAATTACTGATATCAAAATCAGATATAATACAAAGTACAGTCTATTAAATTAAGACAAACAGTTTAAAGTTAATTTTTTGTTAAGTAATTTCTCTCCTACAATCTGCCTTAAACAAGCAGACCCTGCATGGGTCTGGACACCTGCTGCTGGTCGTTTTTTTGGTAAGTCTAGCTGCTGTATGTTTCAGTAATGTTTCATCTCCGACGGTGTGGAAGGTCAGTTCTTGGCCAAGTCTCTGGACACTTCACTTCTTAGCTACTATTTACTATTACTTTCATTGTATCTCCCCTCTCAATTCTCCTATCTGGGACCAATACAAACTAAAACTATTTTTAAAGCTTTCTAAAGCATTTTGCATTACAAGAAAAGATGTTAAATAAATGGGGACTAATAATGACACACAACTGCATACAAATTAAATTCTAGCAGGATTTCGAAAGCATTGAAAACTGCCCCAAAATGGCATATTGAGCACAACTAGAATGAGAAAAACCGCCTCACAGGCTTGCCTGTTGTACTCTACAGACAGTGCCCTCTGTTATGTGGAGAGCAGACCTGGAAACCAATGACTCCTTTGCTGCCTGCATCAGAGTCACCTGCCAGGTGCTCCTAGCCATACTTCTCCAAACCTGTCCCTACTCACATTAATCTAGAATAATCTGCTGTGGCTGATTCTGGACCCTCTGCTGCCATGTGGATCTTAGGTCCAACAGATGGTACTATTCCTTACAACACACTTAGGGCCCAATAGTTCATCTTCTCTGCCTCCTGGGACCCAGTCATCTGCTTCCCTCCAATACAAGCCCATGAAAACACTCACACAAACTTTCTTTAATCTGATCATCTTTCAAGCATAATTTGAAATAAAATTATATATTTAGATCACCATTCTCCTCCCATAAAAGCCCCAATCAAAACATGGCTCTGCTACAGATCCTGACAAGTATTTGTTTCTTTGGGAAAACCTTTCAAGTCAAATTATAAACCTGTAATAAGTGTCTCTGTGGCTGAGTGGTGGTTGGGTGGTAGCTGGCCCCAGAAGTGGTACAAAACGCACAGAAAGCCTGACCCAGGTCCAAATCTCTTGAGTGTGGCCGTTTTGGCGGCATCTAACAGCTACATCCTTGGATTCTGTTTTGATCCACAAAGAAAGCCCGTTCCCTTATTTCCCTTCCGATGTCTTTGTGCCCATAAGGTGGGACCAGCCTGTCTGCAGTTTATAGTAAAGTTATGATGTTTTCCATCAGGTTAGAAAGGTTGGGATTAAAGGACTTTTCTCCTTCATTAAGAATGTCCTTCTTTGTCTTTCTGTACTTCATCTACCAAACAGAGGATGTCAGAAATTAGCCACAATCTTGAGCAGATAAAGAACATATTCAGAATACACACAGCTTTATACAATGGACTTACTCATTTTAACACTGAGCAAACAAATAATGAGAAGTTAGTAGGTCTAAGACGCAGCTGGGGAAGGAGGTCTTTTCTCCAGAAGATTCTGTCACATACCTCTTTTTATGCCATTGTTGCTTTAAAAAATCCAGATTCTCAGGCCGGGCATGGTGGCTCACGCCTGTAATTCCAGCACTTTGTGAGGCCGAGGCAGGCGGATCACCTGAGGTCACGAGTTTGAGACCAGGCTGGCCAACACAGTGAAACCCTGTCTCTACTAAAAATACAAAAATTAGCTGGGTGTGGTGGTGCATGGCTGTAATCCCAGCTACTCGGGAGGCTGAGGCAGGAGAATCGTTTGAACCTGGGAGGTGGAGGTTGCAGTGAGCGAGATCATGCCATTGTACTCCAGCCTGGGCAACAAGAGTGAAACTCCGTCTCAAAAAAAAAAAAAAAAAAAAAAAAAAATCCAGATTCTCACCCGTGAGCTGTGTTATGAGGAAGGGACCTCTGCAATAATGTGAAGGTAACCCTTGGCTAACGAAAGTAAAAACACCAGACCCATGCTTCTTCAGAATCATAAAGTGTAAGTTATTCTACTGAATGTGAAGAAGGCAGTTTGACTTCCTAACGAGCTGTTCTCTGGGACTTTTAATTTGCCTTATTAATGTGTCAATCCTGATTCCACAGCATAAAACTGCATGTCCAGAAAGTAGAAACATGGGTTGGATGAAAATTAATAAGAACTTGATCAGGCTGGTCTTTCCCCTTGACATGCAGGTTTCTCTAAAGGTTGTAAGACACTGTGTGATCAAGGTGCCTTTTATTCTCAGGGCTCTTTTCTTTGATATTTAAGTTCCCTTAGGAGTTGATGGTATCGACTTCAGAAGTATAATAATCTTTTCTTTTTATTCATTCTACAAATTTTTATTGCATGCCTGTGTGCAGGGGCTGAAATGGGGAGCCAAAAGTTCACCTAGTGTCTACCCTCCAGGAGCTCACAGAATGATCTGGGGGTAAAGCAAAATTTAAACAGTGATGTAAACAGTACTTCAGAGCGCAGACTTAATGCCACCAACCTAGTTAAGGAAGTCAGGAAAGCATTCTTGAGGGAGTGTAGCTTGACCTGAGTCATAAAGAGTGAGTAAGAGCTACCTGGGGGGAAGGGGAACAAACTGCTTTGTGGAGGGACAAGCAGGCAGGGTGTAGGGAACCAACACAGTGGAGCACAACTCTGAGAGGGTGGGAAGCTGATATGCAGGAACCCAGGGCCAACAATGGCTGTTGCTGGGTTAGGGATGATATGGAAGAGTTTGGGTACTGGTGGTGGAAATGCATACAAGAGGCAGCATAGACTTCGAAGGTAAAACCGACAGGACTTGATGCTGACACATGGCCAGGGGGTCTGTGAGATGTGTTGCAGTGAGCCTGAGTGTGTGGCAGTGTAAATCAGCACAGTGGACAGGGAGCCCTCTGGATGCCAGCACAGCAGGATTCTGATGAGGTGAGCACACACGTGGCACCTGCTCTAAATGCTACTTTCTCCTAGAAAGATTCCATTTACAGAAGAGAATGTTTTGGACTGAGAGCAAAATCTCAACTGGTCAGGAATGGGTTTAATTCCAAATGACATTTTATGGGTAACTACGAGAAACCTTTTATAGAACACAGGCTATCTTCCTGCTTTAGTAAATAGCTCAGGGTTTTGAGTAAACTGATTGTTTTCCGTTGTCTTAGAGTTATGATTCTGTATTAAGAGTATTCTTGTAAGACACGAGGAAGAGACTAGGCTTTATCAAAGTGATCCCAGGACATAGCCTAAAACTTGCTTTTTAAAATAAATCCCTGCTAGCAAGCTTTTTTTCCGTATCATTTTACTTCTCCTAAAGTAGAGGACAACAACGACAAATCTAGTCAAAGAAACTGTTCCAGTTAGTTTAACTGACAATTCCTCTGTGTACCTTCCTTATATTCAGATATTCCTTATCAGAAATCTTTTTTGATTTTTACCTCAAATTTAGGCAGTCTAAAAACAAAGACAAGAAATAAGGAAAAGAGAGAAAGCTGGGGCGGAGAGGAAGTTCTCGGAGTTTTTCACTGGAGCGGAGCTGTCCACTGAAGCTGCTGATCTGGAATAGCAGCAGGGCTAAAAGAAACTTATACTTGGCCCTGTCTCTCACTGGTACAGGAGCCTAGGCAAGTTAATTTAAGTCTTGATTTTCTCAACAATACATTGGGGATAATACCCAGTTGGGAAAAAAGGGCACGGTGGGGGTATCTTCTGCTACTTAAAGACACTGATCAGGGCAAAATAACCTGAACAGGGCCAAGTAAGGTGGCCCATGTCTGTTATCCCAGCACTTTGGGAGGTTGAGGTGGGAGGACTGCCTGAGGCCAGGAGTTCAAGATTAGCCTGGGCAACAAAGAAAGGCCCTGTCTCTACAAAAAATAAAATTAAATTTGCTGGGTGTGTTGGCACTCCCTGTAGTCCCAGCTATTCAGGAGGCTGAGGCAGGAGGACTGCTCAAGCCCATGAGGTCAAGGCTGCAGCCAACTATGATCACACCACTGCATTCCAGCCTGGATGACAGGGCAAGACCTTGACTGACACACACACACACACACACCCTGCACATACTTCCCAGGAAGTACCAGCACTGATCCCTAGTCATTTTGTTACTCTCTAGTCCCATGTGGAATGGATGGTCCCTTGAAACTACAAAGGCCGTCTGTGCTTGTCTGCAAGGCTATGGGCAGCAGCACAGACATCCAGGAGGAGTTAAAGCTAACAATCTACTATTGCTACTAAACCAAACCCAGCTATGCTGCCACACAAAGGGGTTCCTTTTGTCTATTTAGAGCGTATTTTACAGGTCAGACACAGTATTTAACCACTTATTCCCCACCCTCAGCTATCTGCTTTACTATGTACACTTTATTGATGTTTAAGTAACATGTGAAAATATGGCAGGTGATACTAATAATTTCTACCAAGGTGCCCACAAAAAAGAAAGTTCGTAATTATCACACATGGTATGAACTTCAACTGCAGATATGGTAGGCAGATATCAGCCACTTGCTGTGGGTTTTTAATGTTCTGTAACACTGTAACTCTAATTATCCTGGGTTTACAGCCTTCAGGTTCTGCATTAATAAATTTATGGAGGCAAAACAAAGGAGGAACAAAAAACAATTTCCCAAATAAAATACATCCATTTGCCTCAATTTAAGTTAAATCCAATCTATGTCCCCCTTCTGGAAAATTAAAGCATTACTCAAGAAGGCCTGGTTTAGTAATTTTTCTCTTGCACAAAATGTATACGTAGTTTGTTATAATGTTAATATGAAGTCTCATAACTCAGAAGGCCAACACAGGTGTCACTAATGATGTTTCTTTGTGCTAACCAAACTTGCCTTTTTTTCTGAAACACAGTTTGCATTTTATTATTATTTTTTAGATGGAGTCTCACTCTGTTGCCCAGGCTGGAGTACAGTGACGAGATCTTGGCTCACTGAAACCTCTACCTCCCGGGTTCAAGTGATGCTCCTGCCTTAGCCTCTAAAGTAGCTGGATTACAGGCACCCACCATCACGTCCAGCTAACTTTTGTATTTTTAGTAGAGACGGGGTTTCACCATATTGGCCAGGCTGGTCTCGAACTCCTGACCTAAGGTGATCCACCCTCCTCGGCCTCCCAAAGTGCGGGGATTACAGGCATGAGCCACTGCACCCAGCCTGCATTTTATCTTATCTACAGTTATATATACTCCATTAAAATAATCCTAATCAGAGGGTTTCTTTTATAGCCCCAAAAGAAAATTGCCACTGTGCTGAAAACCTTATATATTTTGTCTAACGGAGTTTTTCCTATGTTAAAAGGAGCTTGTGCCCTTTAAGAAATTAGAAAGGAAGGGCACAGAGTGCTAGAGTCCAGGACTAGGTATAAGCCATTGATTAGCACTTTTCCTCTGAATAAAAGCAGAGAACCTGAGAAAAGGCTGAACCCAGCAGGAGTAGGAGACCTGCGGCAGCCCTGTGATGAAGAAAGAGAAGAGCTTTTTCTCAAGTACAGGGAGAGAAATACTTACATAGTTTGAAACACTGAAATTGAAGTTGCACAAGGTCTTGCACTAGCTTATTTTTATTTTACCCTTTGCTCAAACAGTGGATTAGCTTATAAAGAGAAATGATTACATTTTGTGCTTTCTGAATCTAAAAAGGCATCTTTTTAAAGAAATTACACTCCAGGGAAGTGACTCTTGGTGTAAGCTGCTTCTCTCCATGGCTCATCCTACCCAGGAGTTGGGTCTGTGCTTCCAGAAAGCCAATTACTGGAAGCTGCTTATTCACAAGGCACCCATACTGAAATGTTTACAGTTTCAGTGCAGAAACGACAAACCTGCTGCCACAATAGGACTCCCTTAACAAGATTTCAAATCTGTGAAGATCATACTGAAGCGGAAATCTCCAAAGCTGTTCCAAACACTTGGCTCTGGAGGTCTTTCTCATTTTTACTCCTTTCTTCCTACTTGCATTCATATTACCTTCCTCTTTCGCACCCGGAGCCACTGCCATCTCACCAACGCTCTCGCCTGTCCATCTTCTCAAACAGGTTGAGGTATTGTCAGGCAAAGCCACCCTATTCCTGGAAGTGGCAAGTTTTTCAAAGGCAGGGGCAGCCTGACAGGACAGACACTGGAGGCTCAGGAAATAGCAGAGTCCCAGCAGAAAGGAACTTTCAAAAACGAGGATATCTTGATATACTGAAGCTAATGCCAATGAAACTACCACAGGATCACTGGTCCTCAAATCCTAAGCCAGCCCCTGCCACCTCTCAGCCAAGCTTCAGTGGGGTCATTTAATTTGGCAACAACATGAGACATAGTCTCACATCTCATTTCAGGTCACTCCCACAGGTCATGCTCAAACCGGGGCCTTTTCTTCCTGGAAACCTACTGGAAGGAAAAACTACGTCCACACTAGAATGGAAACTTTGGCACCCAAATCTGTGACTAGCTTATGAACCTTCAGTTTTCAGAATTGATTTTTGCATTTCTCAAAGGGTAACTCTGCCACCTGCACCAGCATGGTCCTAAGCTTGAGTTAAAAAACACAGACTGAGGACACTGTCCCAGAAGAGACTGAATGGGAAGCATCCCAGGTTCTTATCCTCAAGAAAGTTTTAGAACTATTGGTTCAATTCATCTTCATAGATATGGAAATTTTCTTCTACATTTCTGTTTCAGAAGATTCCTACCAGATTAGGAAGATACTCAGCAAGAGTACAATCCTCATTTCAACAGAAAAGGAAAAAGGAAAAAAAGAAAAGGAAACTCCAAGAGTCTCCATGAAGAAAATAGAGATCTGGAAGTAATATAACCAAGTTTAGAAATCCTGCATAATTCCTCAATACATCTCCTCCTCCTCCACCTACACTTTTTTTTTTTTTTGAGATAGGGTCTCGCTCTGTCACTCATTCATCAAGCCAAAGAGTTTGAGGTTGCAGTGAGCTTTGATTGTGCCACTGTACTCATAGTGGAACAATCAGAGCTCACTGCAACCTCAAATTCCTGGGCTAGAGGAATCCTCTTGCCTCTACTTCCTTAGTAGCTGGGACCACAGGTGCATACCACTGCACTTGGCTGATTTATTTTTTGTAGAGATGGCATCTCACTTTGTTGCCCAAGCTGGTCTCAAACTCCTGGGCTTAGGCAATCCTCCTACCTCAGCCTCCTGAAGTGATGGGATTACAGATGTGAGCCACCATGCCCAGGCCCAAGATTTAAGTGTCTATTGTTAGGACAGATTTCATTTATCCAACACCTTGACAAGGCAGTCCAGTTATTAACTCCATTTTACAGGTTAAGAAATTCAGCTTAGGGGCTAAGTGATGTTATAGTTTCCCAAGAAGCCAACTCCTACAGATGTCTGGATGAAGGATAAAATATGACCTAAAAGATTCTATAATTATGACTCTTTGCCAACAAAGACCGTCCAGTAAATTCAAGAGCCTCTGTGCTCTCCTTTGGGCCTTGTCTCTGGGCAGTGTGGTGGTCGTATAATAAAAGGTGGTTCTATCACATGACTTTTCTTTCAAGAGTGAGATTAGAAAAAAGCAACAAGTAGAGGATGGGACTGGTCAGATTATTGAAATTGTCTGAAAATACACCAATGACTAAGGGATTTCAGAGTTCCCAAGTCAAATTAAGGAGCTAAAGGCAACAACTGGGTGTTTGCTGGTGGTTTCAGAGCTCCTTGGGGGTCCGTGGGAAAAGTGAGTCTTTATGTGGCTGGATCATTTCCTGGGGTTCTCTACAGCTAATTTGGAAGATCTTAAACAGAGAATCTTCTGGAGCTGAGCAACAAGATTTTTTGTTGGCATATTCACCTTAAATGGAGCTTTTTTCCAAAGGTGGGAAGGGATGAGGTAGGTCTGAGAGAACAGAATGCTGGGTCAGCAAGTTAGTGAGATTCCATTATTGGGAGATGATTTGCTTCAATGAAGAACGGTTTCTGTGGCACTGCTAAAACCCTCGCCCTGCCAGGAGGCGAAACTAAAACATTAGTAGTTGATACAGATACTATCAACAACCCCGGCCGCCTTGCACAATGTTCCTCAGGTCTCTACCAGGGATGCTTAACGCTTATCCCTGTCCTGATGTACCCTAGTGAAGGAACAAGTTGTCACTTGGCCCACAGTGAGAGGGCTAAATACTAATGACTCTGCTTCTGCCTGGGAGAGTGTGGGGTGGGGGCGGGGGTAGCGGTAGATGGTGTTACTGAGAAAGCCAGGCAAAGTGGTTGTTCAGAGCAGAGAACTAAGAGAGTGCTCTTGGTGGACTGTGAGTTTCACAGGGCATGGTGGAGGAGACTGGCAAAGCAGCAGAGTGTGGTTCTTGACATGTGCCTATTTCCCCTGCCACTCACGCTTCAAACCCCCCAAGTCACTCTAGTAGTGGCAGGTCCAAGTGCCACATGGGGAGGGCAGGCCTCTGAGGCCTTACTGACTCAGCCCTCCCTTTGGCCGAGTTAGGTGTAGCTTCTCCACACTTACACAGACCTCACAGTATCCATAGACCATGCCTCCCAGCACTTACACAAGTGCTCACTGAACATAAGGTGGGGCTGCTTTTACCTGCTAAAAACTATCCACTGGAAATTCCTTCATTCTGAAATGGTCATTGTGCATTTCAATGTCTAGGAGGCATCTCAGACTTAACATGAACAAAATACAACTCCTGAATCCCCACCAAACCTGTTCTCTTGGGAGACCCTGGAGGAAGAACAGGTTTGGTGGTGATTCAGGAGTTGTGTTTTTCAACATTCAGGTGGCACTACATTCACCCAGTGGCAACTCACATTTTTGTCCCCAGAGACATACACTGAAACTCATGAACAACAAAGCCTCATACAGATGCCCTCTATAATGAAGGCAAAACCTGTTCCTCTGCCTTACAAAGAACCACAAGGACAAGAAATTAAGAATGCTGCTGGTCATCCATCTCTCATCATTTTTTTCCCCAAAACTATAACAGGAAAACAAAAATCAGTCTCACTACCAAAACACATTTTAACATCTCCTTAAATTTTTATACGTAGATTAAAATTCTGACCAGCATATTCACAAATTATTTCCAATATTACATACTTTTTTTTTTTTTTTTTGAGATGGAGTTTCGCTCTTGTCACCCAGGCTGGAGTGCAATGGCGCGATCTCAGCTCACTGCAACCTCCACCTCCCGGTTCAAGCGATTCTCCCGCCTCAGCCTCCCCAGCAGTTGGGATTACAGGTGCCCACCACCATGCCCAGCTAACTTCTGTATTTTTAGTAGAGATGGGGTTTCCCCACGTTGGCCAGGCTAGTCTCAAACTCCTGACCTCAGGTGGTCCGCCTGCCTCGGCCTCCCACAGTGCCAGGATTACAGGTGTGAGCCACCATGCCCAGCTCAATATTACATACTTTTAAACATACATATTTAAATGGCATCCAAAGGCCCACCTCTTCCCACTGGAGGTTACATTGCTTCTACGTGTCTCTTAAAGAACCTGTCAGTCACAAATTTACCCTGCACTGATCACCCCCCATGCCAGGCATTAGGGTGGGCTCTGGGGCCAACTCAGCCCTTGGGGAGCCTATCTGGTGAGGACGACAATCAGATAAGCTGGTAGTCACCCCAAGAGCAGCTCCAGCTTAGCTGGGCATTTGCATAAGTGCTGGGAGGCATAGGCTCTGAATACTGTTGGGTCTGTGTAACCTGCAAAGGGAAGGCTGAGTCAGTAAGGTCTCAGAGGTCTGTCCTACCCTCAGTGAGGAGGCACTCAGACCTGCCACTATTGGAGTGACTTGGGGGATTTGACCCATGGGTGCTAAGTGGTGTAACAGGTAAAATGGGAGTGCAGCTGGGCAGCACTTGCTGCCTGGGGAATGAGGTGACAGGTGAGCTGGTTTTAAATCGATGTGCTTTTCACAAATAATAGTGGATTAAAATGCCCAGGCCTGCTCTCTGAAGAGGAGGGAGACACAAAGTCTTATATCAGCAAACAAATACATTTCATTTTTGAGGGGTTGCCCTTTCAAAGCATTAGTATATTTTTATTACTTCAATAAAGAACCCTACCTAGAAACAAGCAAACAGAATAATTTGGGAACTGTCCTATCACTTATCCTAATGAATTACACTATTATCCTAGCAACCAGCTTTGTATGAAAAAACAAAAATAACTTTCAAGCAAACCAGAGGCCTTCACCTGACATGTGTCTGAACTAAGATTTAAGGTTCACAATCACAGCTTTCAAAGTCTGGAACCACATGGCACCCCTAGGGAGCCAGCCACAATGAATAGGCCTGAGACTTGTTAGATGAATATACATTTTACTAGAAACTTCCACTAGCTGCTCCGTGAGAAACACATAACAGAGATGAAATGCCTCCACCGCTGAACAATGTCAGGGCACCCAGGTCCCACTGGTGGTGCTAGTCCATCAGAAGGGACTAGCACCACTTCAGATTTGAGTTCGGCTGGAAATTTGTTATTCTGTTGACCCTGGTATTGTCTATCTGCCTGTGTAGCAGTTCTTCAATTCTATTTTCATAAGGCACGTTAACTGACAGCAGTATGCTGCCAACATCTTCAAATTAAGTGTCAGCTCTTAAGTGCATACAACCAAAATCACTCCACTATTACCAGGTTTACGTGGACAGCATCAGATAGGGCTGAATTTTCTCTTCAGTTTAATTTCCACCAATAAGTTTAGAGACAGGAGGGTTATCTTTACTAAACCAACACATGAGGACACAATTCTAAGGCTGATGCTAGGTAGCTCATAATATTTGCTTCCTTTAAAACCACATCAACTCAAAAGCTTCCAGGAATAGTTTAGCCTCCACCAAGGAGGCTACTTGATTTCCAGCAAAGTTAGTTTTATCCTTTACAGTCCTCTATCATCATCTAATTTACAGATGAGAAACTTTTTTTTTTTTTTTTTTGAGATGGAGTCTCGCTGTGTCGCCCAGGCTGGAGGGCAGTGGCGCGATCTCGGCTCACTGCAAGCTCCGCCTCCCGGGTTCATGCCATTCTCCTGCCTCAGCCTCCAGAGTAGCTGGGACTACAGGTGCCCGCCACCACGCCCGGCTAATTTTTTGTATTTTTAGTAGAGACAGGGTTTCACCGTGTTAGCCAGGATGGTCTCGATCTCCTGACCTTGTGATCCGCCCGTCTCGGCCTGCCAAAGTGCTGGGATTACAGGCGTGAGCCACCGTGCCCGGCTGGGATGAGAAACTTTTTAAGAGCTCTACTAATGCCTAATTTAGGGGCACCCCTGAAGAAAGGAGTTCCATACATCTCAATTTTCCAGAGAAGTGATTCAGGCTATGAGAAATAGGTACAGAAAAACAAATTGAGAATAATAAAATTCCAAATTAACAATTAATGGACATTAAACACAAAATTAACAGGGAACAACATTAATATCACTAATAAAATAAATGAAAAGGAACTAAAAGTTTAAAAAGAAGGTCCAATGCCACTGAGGTAGCAGTAAACAGGCTCACCTGTCCTCATGGATGCTCATGCCTTGTTATGACCCTTTGTTGATTAAACCACAAGACAATGCCTATCAAAAACCATAACAATGTTGGCCCTTCTTGACCTAGCAGTTCAACAGCCATAAATTTTTCTTTAAATCGAAAAATAAAAATGCTTATTGCTCCATAGAAAGTAGTAAATTAACTGGAAACCACCTCAATAAAAGTGCGGTACTTGAATAAATTACATTATACTCACGCTAAACTAAGAAAAAAGAAATCACAGATTAGAATGAAAATTAAAATTACAAAATAAAGTAAAAAAAGCAACACAGACTTGTATCTACACTGTGATGATGGAGACTCACAAGGTTTGAATCCTGGGCAAGCTCCTCTCTGGACCTCAAATCTCACCTGGAGTGTGATGAGACCCACCAGAAAGGGTTGGTTTGAGGTCTAAATGTGGTAATTCACGTATAGTGCTTAGAAAGCATTCAGTACATGTTAGCAGTCATTACAGTCATTCCTGGCATCCATGGAGGACTGGTTCCAGGACCTCTGCCAATACCAAACTCCACGGATGCCCAAGTCGCTTATATAAAATAGCACAGTATTTGTATATAAGCTAAGCACATCCTCCTGTATACTTTAAGCCATCTCTAGATTATGTATGATACCTAATATGATGTAGCTAATGCTATGCAAAGTTGTTATACTTTCTCATTTAGAGAATAATGACAAGAAGAAAAAAGTCTGTATATATTCAGAACAGATGGAATTTTTCCAAGTTTTTTTTTTTTTTTTGAGACAGTCTCGCTGTGTCGCCCAGGCTGGAGTGCAGTGGCGTGATCTTGGCTCACTGCAAGCTCCGCCTCCTGGGTTCACGCCATTCTCCTGCCTCAGCCTCCCGAGTAGCTGGGACTACAGGCGCCCGCCACCACGTCCAGCTAATTTTTTTTGTATTTTTAGTAGAGACAGGGTTTCACTGTGTTGGCCAGGCTGGTCTTGAACTCCTGACCTCAGGTGATCTGCCCACCTTGGCCTCCCAAGGTTCTGGGATTACAGGCGTGAGCCACTGCGCCCTGCCCCCTCCAAATATTTCCAATCTGCTGTTGATTGAATCTAAGAATGCAGAACCCATGAATATGGGAAGCTAACTGTATTATACTATTATATCTAGTGAAATAATCAGCACATGGACAAAATCTAGAAGAGTCAGATATGTTGGGTTATCAGGATTGCGGCATTCTTCTACGAACAGTTCCATTAGTTTTACAATAAGAATAATACTGTTATCTTTATGTAAATAATATGTAAATCTTTTTCATGACTCAGGAGTTCAAATGGGAACCCTGACCAGCACAGATGGTGCCAGCACCTCATCTAAACCCTGTGGCCAATTTTTCTTTTCTTCTGCCTTTTCCCATGTTTCTTGCTCCTTCCTATGGGCAGAGCGACGATTCCCACTTCAGAGCCCATTTCACCATAGAGTCATGTGGTAGCACTTTGCCTAGCCTCAATTCAGTGCATAAAGGCACGAGGCTGCATTCTGAAACTGAGGAAATAGGGTACAACTGTGCACAACAGAGAGGTTTTCTTCAGGCCCATAAAAATGTTTGACATGTGCTCTTTCTCAGTGTAATTAAATACAGTCTTGGTTTTTCACCACATTGTCAGTATCTTGGGAAAATTATTTTAAAAGTCTAAACAGGCCAGGTGTGGTGGCTCAGGCCTGTAATCCCGACACTTTGGGAGGCCAAGGCAAGTGGATCACCTGAGGTCAGCAGTTCGAGACCAGACTGGCTAACATGGCAAAACCCCATCTCTACAAAAAAAAAAAAAAAAAAAAAAAAAAAAAAATTAGCCAGATGTGGTGACAGGAGAATCGCTTGAACCTGGGAGGCAGAGGTTGCAGTGAGCTGGGATCGCACCACTGCACTCCAGACTGGGCAAGAGTGACTCTGTCCAAAAAAAAAAAAAAGCCCAAACAGCAAGTTATCCTTTCTGTTTCCCCTTCCAATTACATTTTAGGAATAATTATGATGATAGCTTAAATTTTTTTGGTATCTTTTTGGGATTCTCTGGGTTTTTTTTTATAAACATGACACAGACCTCATGATTTCCTATTTTTCTCTCCACTTTCTTTCAATTTGGATTTAAAAATTTATCAGTTTACATCTATTTGAAAGGCTAAATAAAAAGCAAGCAGTTATTTAAAATGCTGTATTAGAATCTAGTGTTGACTTATCTAAACATGTATATTAGGCTGAACTGCCTTCATATCTAATATTTTCTTGTCTAATACATATTAAACGCAAACCTAAATTTCTTTTCTTCAACCCTTCTTTCTGTTATTGGTATGTTGATGACCCCTCACCTCGCCCACTGACTTGCTGGAGCTAGAAACCTCAACTTCATCCTTGACCTCTGCCTCCTCACTTTCCCAAACCTGCTGCATCTAGTCAGTGTTTAAAATCTATCAACTTTAGCCGGGTGTGGTGACTCACGCCTATAATCCCAGCACTTTGGGAGGCAGGTGGATCGCCTGAGGTCAGGAGTTCGAGGCCAGCCTGGCCAACATGGTCAAACCCCATCTCTACTAAAAAATACAAAAATTAGTCGGCATGGTGGCACATGCTTGTAATCCCAGCTACTTGGGAGGCTGAGGCCTGGGAGGATGTTTGAAACTGGGGGGTGGAGGTTGCAGTGAGCCGAGAACGTGCCACTGCACTCCAGCATGGGTGACAGAGCAGGACTTCGTCTCAAAAAAAAAAAAAAAAAAAAGTCTATCAACTTTGAATCCCTAAAACGTTTCTCAGATCCATCCAATCCTTCTGACTCCCGTTTCTACCACATACTCGGTCCTTACCAGCTCTTGCACAAATTAATCCCACAGCCTCTCGAATGACCTGTCTGCTTCTGATGTCTCCCTACTTATTTCCTGAGTTTCCTTTATAAAACACAAACCTGTACATGTGACTTACACGCTTAGAAATCACTAATGGTTTTGCACTGCCCGTAAATTAAAGGCTAAATCCTTCAAATACAATAGATCCCTGATATGGTTTGGATCTGTGACTTCACCAAATCTCAGGTTGAACTGTAGCACCCAATGCTGGAGGCAGGGCCTGGTGGGAGGTGGCTGGATCATGTGGGTGCTATTCCTGTGATACTGAGTTCTCACAAGACCTGGTTGTTTGAAAGTGTGCAACACCTCGCACCTCACTCTGTCTTGCTCCTGCCATGCAAGAAGCCTTCCTGCTCCCCCTCTACCTCCCTCCATGACTGTAAGTTTCCTGAGGCCTCCCCAGAAGCTGAGCAGATGCAGGCATCATGCTTCCTATACAGCTTCCAGAACTGTGAGCCAATTCAACCTCTTTTCTTCATACATCACCCAGCCTCAGGTATTTCTTTACGGACTAATACAAGCCCTCTGGAGTTCACATATTCTCAGTATATTCACTGTTTTAGGGGAGGAGGTGGAATGCTATAGGGAAGTATTTGTCCTGAATCATTCTGTGGATACACCACACAAACTCAGAATTCTTAATTATTTTGGGCCTTTTAGTGCTGACATGTTAAAAAGTTTACTTAAAAAAACAACTTTAGACCAGGCGCGGTGGCTCATGCCTGTAATCCCAACACTTCGGGAGGCTGAGGCAGACGGATCAGTTGAGGTCAGGAGTTCGAGATCAGCCTCGCCAACATGGTGAAACCCCGTCTCTACTAAAAATACAAAAATTAGCCAGGCATGGTGGCAGGTGCCTGCAACTTCAGCTACTCAGGAGGCTGAGGCAGGAGAATTGCTTGAACCTGGGAGGCGAAGGTTTCAGTGAGCCGAAATTGTGCCATTGCGGTCCAGCCTGGGGGATAGAGGAAGACTCAGTCTCAAAAAAAAAACAAAACCAAACCAAAAAAACCCAACTTTACTACCAGGCAGATTCTTTTCTTTCGCTTTAGATAATCGCTATCAAAACTTTGTCATCTCACTAGAATGTTAATGCTTTTACTTAACATGCAAGGTAGATTTTAGTCCCTCCCTTTTGCCTTCTGTCTTTTGAGAGATATAATTCCTGAGTGTGTTCGTGTTGGCTGATGCTATTTCATAAGACATAATATTAATACTGCACCTGAAATACCTCACACCCTGCCACCCTTCCCCCCGCAGCAAACTTGAGTTTCCAACAAGAGTAAAAAGGAGATAATGTTTTTATTTCCACCAAGGACAACTTTCAAAGAGATTAAGTTCTGAACACCCCTGGCAAGATGAGCTAGCTGCACTATGATGGAACTACAACATAAGCTATAGAGTACTGAGTGAGCTTGCTAACAGGAACACATCTTTACTAAGACAACAATGAGGGAGGACACCATCTGAGGGCGGTCACCAGTCTGCAGCTTGCATTTCCTCTGAAACCACCTAACTGTTGAAATGTGCCAAACACTGCTCTAAGCACTTTCCAAAGAGCAACACATTTAATCCTCCTAACATACCTCTTTACTGTAGGTGCTGTCAGTTTTCATACTTTGTATGGTAAGGACAGTGAAGCACAGAGGTTAAGTGACTTGAGCTAGTGACCTCGCAAGGAAACAACAAGTCCTGGAATTCATATGAAGCAGTGTGACTCTGGGGCTCTCACCCAGGCCTCCCCTCTACACAGCTGTTGAGGAGAACGGCAAAAGCCAGGACCTTCCGGGGCAAGTGTTTAGCTGCCTTGATTTTCTCTTCTCATACGTTTTTCCAATAAATTGGACGAATCTGATCTGCAGTAGCAAGCCTTGAGGGTCCCGCGAAATTGGCCTTGGCTTGGGGTGCGGAGGAGGAACCTCCATTTTCCTGAAACAGTATTGGATGAAGCAAGCCGTATCTTTTGGAAAAATCGAAGCCCTAGTGCAGGACCTGTGTGCGGCAAGGCATTGCTTTCTGCAGAATCACACAAACTTTCCTGCATGAAGTTCAGAAGCCTTGACATAGAGCTTCTCTAACCACACACCAGCTAAGGGGCCGAGGCTGAGGCTGAGTCACCCTGCAAGTTCCCTGACAGGAGTTTAACTTCACATTTCAACTGGTTTTCCAGTAGAGACTCAAGATATTTGTTGAATTGAAAGGGATGCCTGCTTTTACATACTATTTGCTGTTAGCTCTTTTAACAGATTAGCAATAACTAGTTTAACATCCCAGGGATGAGTAATTAACATATAATAACTTGTGTGTTGTGGCTTGTTTATCAATATTTTTGTTTATGGTCCTTTGGGATTTTTTTGAATATTTTTCTCTACTTATTTATTTTGAGACTAGGTCATTAAGACTGGCTAATTTTCGTATTTTTGGTAGAGACAGGGTTTCTCCATGTTGCCCAGGCTGGTCTCAAACTCCTGGGCTCAGGTAATCCAAAGTGCTAGGATTACAAGCATAAGCCACCTTGCCCAGCCTTGGCCAAAGAATCGTGTACTCCTTATAAATTTTACTTTAAAATCAAGTGTAATGCTCCCCACATCATCCCCCTACCTCTAGAGAGAAAAAAAAAGTCAAGAAATAAATCGTAGTAAAATTTGAGTCCTTCAATTTGTCATGATTTATTCTGTAAGGTAATATATGCAATAAAATTCAAAACTGAAAATTTCACTTGATTCCTTAGAATTTGGACGAAATCCTGAAAGAAAATGAACCTTTTCTCTGGAAATTTAGTGTCAATGTCATCATGCAGTGATATAAAAAGATATACCACACAGTGTTAAGAAAAACAGGTAAATTAGATACAAGTCTCTGCTATATACTGAAAGCCATGGGAACAGGGCGCCACCGCCTAGAGAGTGAGAAATGAAGATGGGTCCCAGCAGAAGTAACAAAAAGCAAGTGCTTGCCAGAGAGAGGGGGCTGGGAGGGAGAGGAGAATGGAGAAAGGGAGTGTGGGAATGTGAGAAAGGGCAGTTGTAGCAAGCACAGAGGAAGAACAATCAGGTAGGGGTGGGGGTGAGGTACTGGAGTTAGGAGCAGAGAACAGGAGTTGAAGGGAGCCTTCACCAGGATGGGGGCCTTGCCAGGCCCTGGAAATGACCACCTTCAAGGAACATATAGTTGAGAATTTAGAGAGCATGTAGACTGGTGGCTCTATTTTACAGTTAAACTAGAGAGCCTACCTTTCTGACTTGGCTGTTTTGATGTTTTAATATGTGATTTCATTTTCATAATGTAATCAATCTATTTTATATTTTCCAAATCATGTTTTCCATCACAATTTAAAGTAAATTTAAGAAAGATGTGAGTCTGTTAGATGGGGGAAGTAAATAATTATCCATTATTTAAACTTGTATTAAAAATAAGCCCCTAAACTGGCCAGGTGCAGTGGCTCACACCTATAATCCCAGTACTTTGGGAGGCCGAGGAGGGTGGATTCCTTAAGGTCAGGAGTTCAAGGCCAGCTTGGCCAACATCCTCAAATCCCGTCTCTACTAAAAATACAAAAATTAGCTGGGTGTGGTGGCACGCACCTGTAATTCCAGCTACTGGGGAGGCTGAGACAGGAGAATCACTTGAATACAGGAGGCGGAGGTTGCCGTGAGCCGAGATCATGCCACTGCACTCCAGCCTGGACAACAGAGTGAGACCCTGTCTCAAAAAATCAAGGAAAAAAAACCCTAAATATAATCTTTAATATATTGATTCAGAAATTTAAAGAAAATTGGCCAGGCACAGTGGCTCAGGCCTGTAATCCCAGCACTTTGGGTGGCTGAGGCAGGTGGATCACTTGAGATCAGGAGTTTGAGATCAGCCTGGCCAACATGGTGAAACCCTGTCTCTATTAAAAATACAAAAATTAGCCAGGTGTGGTGGTGCATGACTGCAGTCCCAGTTACTTGGGAGGCTGAGGCAGGAGAGTCACTTGAACCCACGAGGAGGTGGTTGCAGTGAGCCAAGATTGTGCCACTGCACTCCAGCCTGGCAACAGAGCAAGACTCATCTCAAAATAAAAATAAAAATAGAAAATAAAAATTAACCTAAAACCAGTTAACATATACTGTCAGGTAAAAAAAAAAGATTAAAAGTTTCCCAAGGGGGGTTGGAAAAATTTGGGAGGGGCACCTTCTATGAGAGGGGAACAAGCAAAGACTCCCCGACTCCCCCACTAGTAGGGCTATCCAGCCTCAAGGGATCCATGGCCACCAGATCTACCTTCTGTCACATCCCTGCACGCCTTGGCATTCCTTAATGTCTCAAAGGTGATTTGTACATACCAAGTTATATCCATACCCATTCAGAGGCAATTACCTCTGTAATATCATTCATGTCAGAGGTCATTGTGATTCTCATACACAATTATACCAAGGCAAACAGTGGTCAATGTTGGACAGAAGCAAAGGGGACTTGTGCTGAAATGAATAGATTCACAAGTCCCACACTTGTGGGAAGGGAAAAAGGAAGGGAAAAAGGAAGGGAAGTAAACACCATTTTTAAATATAGAAATGTTCTAGTTTTCGGCAATTTTCAGAGTAGTGTGACACAGGGAGAGGAGCAATGTCTCTTGAGGACTTCCCAATATTTTAATATAACATCGTGCTTGTCAAAACACCTGATAAATACATAGGCCAAAATGGATCTCTAATGAAATATATGTGACTTTATCTTACATGATAGGATTAAGGGCATGCTCATTAAGCAAGACCAAAACTGAATGCATCTATCTGCTAAAACCTAGTAAGATAAAACTAGACTCAAAGTATCCTGGACAATTGAAACATCATCTGTCAAATTAAATAAAAGGCAAGTTAGTGTAATTTTAATTTGTCCTTGAGTGCACTGAGAAAAGTAGAATAAAAGCTAGGTAAATAAAAGCTAGAAACGGATCTTATAGTGATAGTGGTACATCAGCTCAAAGAGACAACAAGCCTAACTTTTTTCTTATTTTTTTTAGAGATTGAATCCCACTCAGTCGCCCAGGCTAGAGTGCAGTGGCACCATCTTGGCTCACTGCAACCTCCGTCTCCTAGGCTCAAGCCATTCTCCTGCCTCAGCCTCCCGAGTAGCTGGGATTACAGGTGCCTGTCACCATGTCCAGCTAATTTTTGCATATTTTTAGTAGACACGGGGTTTGACCATGTTGGCCAGGCTGGTCTTGAACTCCTGACCTCAGGCGATCTGCCCACCTCGGCCTCCCAAAGTGCTGGGACTACAGGCGTGAGCCATCATGCTCGGCCCAAGACCTGAATTGAGACACAGGATCTAGAGATTTGCTGGGGAAGATTTAGCCTGATTACTGATTATCAATTATTGCTATAGAACACCTAAAAGTTTACACAAAAAAACTGGGCTGAGATATGTTAATAATAAATGTTGAAATAACGAAAACACTGTCAGATGGTCACATACACATATGCACATCAAAAAGCAATAAACAGGCTGGGCGCAGTGACCCACACCTGTAATCCCAACACTCTAGGAGGTCAAGGCAGATGGATGATCTGAGGTCAGGAGTTCCAGACCAGCCTGGCCAACATGGTGAAACCCCACAACAAAGTGAGATTCTGTCTCAAAAAACAAACAACAAAAAACCCACCAAATACTGTGACTTTCCAAGGAAAGTTGGGAAGCAAGAACTCAACTTTGACAAGAGGATGATTAACGGATTATTTTGAGCGCTCAAATTTGACTAAAGAATTTTGTACTTGAGGGTCTTAAATGTTACATCCTCCTAGGATCTTTGCATTTTAAAATGTCATTGTGTATAAACTTCTTAGGGGAAGTGAATCTTCTACCTCAAACTTGGAGTTTCACCGTGATGTTAATAATGGAGACAGGGAAGGAGGCACAAAGAAAAGACCGTAATTGGGAGATAGGGGACATGATAAGAGTAAAGGGCAAGCTCCTTGCATGACTGAATTAAAATGTTCTAATTTCAAATATATATTTCACATTCAATATAATTTTTACTATAGTCTATGGGCACTTCTTTTTGCCAGAAGGTTATAAATAATATGGTAGACTACTAAACATACAGTTGTACATCCATCTGATCCCTTCCCACGAAAAAGTGGATAAACTTGCAAGATAAACTCATGACACCATGAGCAATGGGAAGCTGGAAACATGAGAGATGAAGTGAGTGACAGTGATTCTGTGCACTGCAAGGAAGCAGACAGTAATGATGAGTGCAGTGGAGGAGCCCCCAGAAAGCCAGCCACTTTAGGGCACAGAGCTTGGGGAGGCCTCAGTAAGTGGGGGTGCAACATGGGGCTGAAAAATAGAGCATTAGCCCAAAGTTTCTAAGAGGAGTTAGATCCTTAACCCAGTTCAACCAGGTAACTGTTCTCATCCACTGAAAACAGGCGGGAGATTGTCAAAGTCCGCGCACTGAATCATGAGCCCATATCCCCACCCACACAACCCTACCATCCTCTTCTCCACTTGGCTTTTAGGACGCTGGCAGCCAAGCTTGCATCTCTAGACAGGAAATCTCAAGATTTTTCTCTGGAACAAAAAAAAAAATGTTTTTTTTTCCTCTGGGAAAACTCAACTCAGAAAAAAGACCCATATGCTGGCTGGCTGCCTTATTATTCTACGGAGAGGACTACAGGCTAGCAAGCCTGGCCCATACTGTAACAGAGAGCTTCAAGTCATTTTTTAAAACATCTCTTTCTCTCTTAAAAATATAAATCAAGGCTGGGTGCAGTGGCTCAAGCCTGTAATCCCAGCACTTTGGGAGGCCGAGGTGGGCGGATCACCTGAGGTCAGGAGCTCGAGACCAGACTGACCAACGTGGAGAAACCTCATGTCTTCTAAAAATACAAAATTAGCTGTGCATGGTGGCGCATGCCTCTAATCCCAGCTACTCAGGAGGCTGAGGCAAGAGAATCGCTTGAACCTGGGAAGCGGAGGTTGCGGTGAGCTGAGATTGCGCCATTGCACTCCAGCCTGGGCAACAAGAGCGAAACCCCATCTCAATAAAGAAAAAAAAATCAAGACATCTGAAGAACCTCTAACAAGAAAGAGAAAATAGGAAACAGACAAAGATTTTTAAAAATTATAGTACAGGCCAAGTGTAGTGGCTCACGCCTGTAATTCCAGCACTTTGGAAGGCTGACGTGGGAGGATTGCTTAAGCTCAGGTGGTGAGACCAGCCTGCCTGGGCAACAAAGTGAGATGCTGTCTCTACAAAAAGTAAAAAACTTAGCCAGGTGTACTGGCATGCACCTGTGGTCCAGCTACTTGGGAGGATCCCTTGAGCCCAGTGGTTGGAGGCTGCAGTGAGCCATCATCACATCACTGCACTCCAGCCTGGGTAAGGGCATGAAACTGAAACAAAAACAAAAACAAAAAATACGTTATAATGTATTCAAAAAGCAAGAGAAACGATTATAGCCATCAACTAGGCTCTGATTATTCTTTAAAAGTCAGTACATTCAGAGAAAAAAAAAGCTCTTCAAAATATCAAGAAAAAAAATAAGTAAATAAAAGGCTAGAAGGCTGGGCACTGTGGCTTGTGGCACATGCCTATAATCCTGGTACTTTAGAAGACCGAAGTGGAAGGATTGCTTGAGTCCAGCAGTTTGAGACCACTCTGGGCAACACAGTGAGACCTTGTTTCTGCAAAAAATATAAATATTAGCTGGGCATGGTGGCACACACCTTTAGTCCCAGGTACCAGGGAGCCCCAGAGTTCGAGAATGCAGTAAGCTGTGATCGCACCACTGCATTCCAGCCTGAGTGACAACAAAACAAAACAAAACAAAACAAAACCAAAACAAAACCCACATACAAAAAAGATTAGATGATAAAGCTGAAGAAAGCATAGAGAAATCAGAACAAAAAGATAATGAGATAAAACATAAAACAGAGGAGAAAAGATAAAAACAGCGGATCAATCCAGGAGGTAAAATGCCTTATATTAACAGGAATTATAAAGAGAGCAGAGAAAATAGAGGGAAGGAAATTTTCAAAGAACTACCACATGACAAATTGCCTGAACTGAAAGACATCAGCGTACATAAGATCTCATAGAGTAGCCAACACAACCATGAAATGACCTAGTCAAGACCTATCATTTTGACATCTCAAGACCCTAGGGAAAAGGAGAAGATCCTCAAACTTTCCAGAAGAAAAACAGAACATGCATCAAGGGATGAAAAATTAGAATGGCAGTCTTCTCAACTGCAGCACTGGAAGCTAGTGGACAAACCAGGAAGAACGACTGCAAGACAGTGAGAGAAAAATCACTTCCAATCTAGAATTCCACACCTAGCCAACTCTCAATTAAGCATGAGGCTAGGATAAAGTCATGCTCAGATATATAGGATCTCAACATTTTTACACTCCCACACACCCTTTCTCACAAAACTACTAAAGGATGATGCACGCCCTTAAATGAAGGCTCACTTTAAGAATGAGGAAGAAATGGGATTCAGGAAACAGAACATTCAATAGAGGAGAGAAAGAAATGAAGATGATGATGTTGATGATCTGCCCCAGGATAAGTTATGAAACAGATCCAAAGAATAAATATCCTAACTGGAAAGTGTGCGTTAGAAAAGATGTGGCCCAAGAAACTTGAAATATAATAATATGCTTCATAAGCATTATACATTTCAAAAAATGAAAAACGATTTTAGAAGTCTATACAAATCTTCCAAATTACCTATTTCATTTTCTGTCCATCACATGGGCATAGGCACTTTAATTTGGAGGAATAATCATGTGACATGTAAGAACAAAAACATGCAAGAAAAGGAACCAAATGAAATAAAAATCCCAAGCTGGTAAGAGATTTCTCATACTCACCATCTCTCTGGCTATTTCCAGCGCTTCCTGCAGGCCATAGAGCCTGCCACAAACCAGGTAGATTCCATTGGCCCAGAGAATACAACCCTCATGGACCCAAAATTCATTGCTGTCAAGAGGTAGTTCAGGGATTTGTAACTCCAGCTCAGGGCCACCTTCTGAAGTGGTGGGCACGGAGGGCTTCGAGTCCAAAACAGTCTTTTCACTGCTGCCCTCAGTGGCTGCTTTTTTACAAGGGAGCCCCCTGGACAGGGACCGAGGGCCTCCACCACAGTCTTCCGAGCGGTGGCGCCGCTTAAACCTGGGGTGTGCGGCCAGGCTTCTCTGCTCCTTCTGCTGCTGCTGCTGCTCTTCCTCCTCCTCAGTGTCCGTCTTGGAGCCATTAGAAGCACTTTTGTGCCGTACCTTAACTTTGCTCTGCATTTCTGTGGCCCTCTTAGGAGGTGGATTCTTCGGGAGAGTGGCTGCATAATCTTGGGGATAAAAAGGTCCAAAGAGGTCACCCATGTTCCGGTAACTGGCCCACTTGCCACACAGACAGCAAACCAGGTGCCCCATAACCGAAGACTCTGTCACAACAGGTCCCTGCAGCATAAAGGACGAGGCCGGGAGCGCCTTGCTTTCAGTGCTGCTAGGTGGAGGGGTCAGTGACCTCTGACCCTTCCTGCCCCTCACTAATTTGGTCTGTTCTTCTTCCTCAGCATTGATGATTGTACAAACGGCTCCAAGTTCACACTTATTTACTACATGGATGTAAGGGTAAAAAGACTTGTTCTTGGCATCAGTTTTATCCAGTGGCTGGGTGGCATATTTTAGTTTGATCTCAGGTTCTTGGGGTTCCACAATGGGAACTGCTTGTTTGGTTTTTCGCTTCCTCGGCTGGGCCCCAGGCTTCCTTCTCTCCCTCCTTTGCCTCTGTTTTTTTGGCTTTGGCTCTCCATCTGCAGAACCTTCTGGTATCTGTGGGGGCTGAGGGGGTGGAGGCGGTGGCTGCTGCTGTTTCTTTTGCTTATTCACACTACCAATGGGTCTCCCCTTCTTCTTTCCTGATGGGAAATATCCCTTTGGAGGGAAACCCTCTTGCTTCGGTGAAATCGTCACTGTATCGTTCTCCTTCTCTTCAGCCTTGGGGTTTGCCTCAGGGGCCAATATGCCCACTGGAGGTACATTCTTTGAGTCTGGAAAGATTAAAGGTGCTGTTCCACCCAGGGAACCATCTGGTCTCCCTTGGTTACTACCAGGCTTCTGTGAGGTTGTGGATGTCATGGCACCAGGGGGTTCCTTTCCGGCAGTAACTGTTTCTGCATGTGTCTCTGTCTTCACTTTGTCATCCACGCTGCCACGCCACTCTTCTGAAGACCTTGGAAGAGGTTTCTCTACGTGCAACTCCTGGTTTGCTGGACTGACTAGGTCCGAAGCCACCTCACCTTTTCTCTTCTCTATGTCAGCATCCTGAACAGCAACACTCCCACCTTCAGGAGGACCACTCTTCAAAGACAGTATATCATCAAGCGTAACCGTGTCTCCCCCAGCCTCCGCACTGTTCGAAGATGCGCTCCTCCTAATATTTGGGGATGTAATCTTCTGAACTATAGCTTCCAATTTCAATCCCCGTCCTTTCCGTGGGGGCAGTATTTTGGTCTTAGCAGGGCTTGTGAGGGTAACAGCAGGGCAGTTTCTACTATCTGGACTTGGAAGGTCCTTGGAGGAATCTCTCTTAGGGATAGACTTGATATCCTGACTGTGAGAAAGATGGGCATAGGAATTGAATGCTTTATCAGCGCCTTCTTTTGATGAGTGAAGGAGGCGACCTTTATCTTCAGTGCTACTGTTCTTTACATCTTGTGACTGTCTCTTACTGGGAATGGGAGAGATAAAAGAACGAACACGCCTCCTCATGATTAAGGGGTTTTGAGAAGAATGATCCTCCTGGCCTGGAAGTCTCAGCATAACACTACCAGGTTTGGATGACTGTGTAGCCTCAGCTAGTCCATGTCCATCAGTCTCATGGGGCGGCCCATACCTTTTTTGACTGGACATTCCTGGAGGACCGCTGCTTTTGGCTGGAGAAGTTTGCCGAGAAAGATCCCAACAGGATTCTTGTAACTTCTGGGAGCCATGCTTTAATTCCATGCCCTTGTTAGGCAGACCATCACTAGACATTAGGCAGCGCCCAGCCTCCTGGGCACTGGGGTCATGGTAAGTCCCCACTGGTGGGCCATACATCATACCATCTTTGTCATTTTTCAGAGGGCTCCGTACTCTGTCAAGAAACTGCTGCTGCCTTGGACTCTTCCGTGGCCCCTCCTGCCTGTGCTGTGCTGCAGCAATTACTCCCTGAGCAGAACCGCTGCTCCAGTCTTTATACTCCTCTGGTTGCTGTTGGTACATCTGTCTCTTATAATGCAGCTGAGAATTCAAACCTGCGTTAGGGTCCCCATAAGCATGAGCCCGAGTATTTGCATGATAAGCAGAGGCCAGGGTTTCTGAGTTGGGAGAAAAGGGAGTGTGTAAAGAACTCCGGTTAGCCCTCTCTGAAAAGGTCATGTGTGGATTCATGTGATGAGGGTCTCCCCCTGGGCCTCTGCTCCGCCCAGGAGACATTTTCAATTTTTCTGCAAAGTCATGATATTGAGAAGGGGACCGACCCCTCATGCCCTCCCGACCACCAACTCTGCCAGGGACCCGCCGCATTGGCGTGGGTCTGCTGTCTTGCGGGCCATAGTCTGAAAGGGAATCATGGGTTGCTGCTCCAGGGCTGGCATTGCCGCGGTAAGACTCATGCTTGATGCTAGGAGGATGGCAGTGGTCTCCAGATTTCTTGTTGTTGAAACTAGCTTGAGATTTAGACTGTTCAAAGTCTTCCTCTTTTATCTGCCCGCTCTGGGATTTCAGCTTGGTTTCCATGGACACCAAACCACCAGGAAGAATGACCGACTGACTTAAAGTTGGATTGAGACGGTCATTCCTCCCAATTCTGGTGTCGGCACTCATGTGTCCCAGTGAGTGAGCCCCTGGGTCCCTGACAATCTGTCTTAGTGGAGAAATATCACAGATCACTGATCTTCTTTCAGAGAGGGAACCCCCAGGCTCATGTGCTGATGACTGAGGCTCTATTTCAAACTTTCTGGGAATTGGATAGTCAGTCAAATTGATCTGTTTCATTTCAGGAGCTGTGCTGCTTGATTTCCTTTCCCAGGGGCCCCAGTGGGGATTTTCTAATAGAGACCCAATGCTTTTGTTCAGAAGGCCCCTGCTAGCTAATTCATTGGTTTGACTAACCAAGACATTGGGCCTTGTGGTTCCTTCTAGGCTACCAGCCATCCCCTGATGCTCTTGAGTACTCCTAGAATATCTCCTGTCAGGGTGGTGGTGGTAACCCTGAAGCACTTCCTGCAGGAGGCTTGGGAATTTTTCATTTCTACCCTTTCGTTCCCCATGGCCAGTGAAATCTCCCTTTTCTTGCCCTGTAGGATACTGAGGAAAGCCACTGACATTTCGTGGCACGGCTGACCCGAAACTATCTTTGTAACTATAGCGCAGACTTCCAGGAGATTTGCTAGGCTCAGTTCTGCTCGTAAAACCAGGGCCCGCTGCAGAGTGGCCACTCTGGCCATTTCCTTCTCCATTATGGTTGGAGTTGTTATCGCCATTCTTGTTTCCTTTGCTCCCTCCTCCTCCTGGAGGCTCTGGCTGGGGAAGTGATGCATGACTGGTTTCCTTTGCCCCACCATTGCTAGGTGGCCTTTGAGTGGCTGCAGGATCATCCTCTTGGGAGCCTTTATCTTGTCCACCAGGCTTTTCTACCCGACCTGTCATGGCTTCCCGGGAGACAATCACCCCAACAGTCTTCTCATTAACCTTTGGGTTCCCGTCGGATGACAATGGCATGTCCTTAGCGCCTGGTGAGGTGGCCTCTTCTCTTGCGGCAGGACTAGCATTGAGTCTGGGGGGTTCATTCTGAGCACCTTGTGCCGGTGAGGAGCCAGCTTTCTCAGAGGCTCCACCCTTGTAGGTGGTGTCAGAGCTGGTGCTCTGGCCACTTAGTTGCCGCACTCTCTCGCCTTGATCCTCTGAACTGCTGGAGCAGCCTCCATCTAATGACTCTGCCATAGGGGACTTCAGCTGTTCTTCAGGTTGTGAGGAGCCTTCAGAATTTGTGCAGCTATCTGCTTTCTTGGAAGATGAGGGCCTCTTGGAGGTCTTCTTCTGAGGAGTCAGGGCATCAGAAAGTAACATGTGCTGGACAGTGTTAGGAAGATTGGCCACTTGAGTACTCAGAGCACTCAAACTACTCAACCCAGGATCTGTCAGTCGCTTTTCTGGTACCCCTTCTAGTCCAAACCCTTTGAAGCCTGCAGCATGAGAATTAGGACTGGGCATCATTGATGGGGTTGGACTGAGTTGAGGCATTAACTGTAAAATTCTGTTTCTGGAACCCATAGGCACACTGCCTTGCCCACACTGGAGATTCTCCCCAGTCTGCATGAGAGGAGATGGGGTAGAACTACAGCTTGGAGACTGAACCACAGAGGCAGCTGGAGAAGGGTTAGAAATGGGGCTGAAGTTCTGGTGAAACTGCATGGGGGACCTCACAGGAACCTCAGGCTGGTTGTACTGCCCCACTTGGCTTTGCAGGGGCAGCTTGGTGGCAGCGTTAGTATACTGCATCACATGCTGAGAAGGGTGTTGTTGTTGCTGCGGTTGCTGCTGCTGCTGCCCCTGTTGGGTCCCTTGTGGAATCTTTGCCTGTTCAAAATTCTTCATAGATTGAGGCTGATAGCTGTAATTGGATTGTGTTCCATAAGCCTGTGCATTAGAACCCACATTGTGTCCTTCATACTGAGATCCAGCATTCACATTGTAACTGCCATCATAGCTCTGTCCAGACTGGCTAAAACGCTGTGGTGAAGGGAAGGAGGAGGAGGAGGAGGAGGAAGCAGAAGACTGATAGTGTTGGCCAAACTGACCCACTCTTAACTGGTAACCAGCAGCAGAGGATGGCAGAGTTGAGGGCCGCTGCATTGGCTGTAGATGGGATGAGCTGGATGCTGGTTGGCCAGTGGCCTGTGGCAGGGGCTGATGGGACTGGTAAAGCTGTTGTCTCAACTGCTGGACTTGCTGCTGCTGCTGCTGGCTGGAAGCCTGCTGTTGGTACTGAGCACTCCCTGGAGAGAAAGGCCCAGTGTAATCCTGCTGATAATGTGACACACCGCCAAGGCCAGAGTGCTGTGCTTGAAACTGGCCCACATGACCCTCACTCCCATACTGATTGCCAAAGCTGCTCCCCTGGGGGGGTCCATAGCTCTGCACAGGCCCAGAAGGCCTTCGCTGAGGAGGCTGTGGGGTTCCTGTAGTCACGGGGTCTTTGTTGCCTGCCATGTAGTAAAAATCTCCAGCCTCTTTCCTGAAACCCTGGTAACCTTGATGGCCAGAGGTCTCGCTAGCCATCGCTGCCGCAGCAGCTGCTGCTCCTCGTCGTCCACCACCACTGCCACTGCCACTGCTGCCACTACTGCCACCTGTACCTCCAAAATTCTGGAACATCTGGGCCTGACGAGGGCTGAACTCTTCTAGCCGGGATGAGCCGTGTACCTCCTGTGGGTAGCTTTGCTGGTTTCCGTGGTAACTGCTTTGCTCCCGAAAGGACTGCATACTGTTCAGCAGCACAGCAGCAGGCCAACAGCCCTCCTAGAAATAGAAGAAAGAAAAACATTAGACACGCATCTCCTTGGTACAAATAAAATCAAGTCTAGATGATGGAGGGAATAAAGATGAATCAGAGGCCCAGATGAAGCTGACTGGTTTGAATTTCTATTTTTTTTTTTTGGTTTTTTGAGACAAGAGTCTCACTCTGTCACCCAGGCTGGAGTGCAATTGCACGATCTCAGCTCAATGCAACTTCTGCCTGCAGGGTTCAAGCAATTCTCTTGCCTCAGCCTCCCGAGTAGCTGGGACTACAGGCGCATGGCCACCAGGCTCGGCTAATTTTTTGTATTTTTAGTAGAGACAGGGTTTCACTGTGCTGGCCAGGCTGGTCTCGAACTCCTGACCTCGTGATCCGCCCACCTCGGCCTCCCAAAGTGCTGGAATTACAGGCATGAGCCACCACGCCTGACCTTGAATTTCATCTTTTATATTTTATCCTATCCACTTCTGAAAATGCACATATGCAGAGAAATGGCCTAAAGAGTGAGGCAAGAATCTGTAGTAGAATGAAAAGCAGCACTCTGAGTGCATACAAACCCAATACAGCAAAAACATGTATGTCTCATATATCTAATAATGCCTTATTAGACAAATGAGCCCCCAAACTCAACCAGATTAAAATATGGGGCTGTGTTATTACTGTCAATGAAAAACAGCAATTTTTCAATAAGCCTCCCAGTTATGCGGGGGAGGGGGTGTGGGGTAAGAAAAACCAAATCCTTTTTTTTTTTTTTTTTTTTTTTTTTTTGAGACAAGGTCTCACTCTTGCCCAGGCTGGAGTGTGCAGGGGCACAGTCGTAGTTCACTGCAGCATCAAACACCTGGCTTCAAATGATCCTCCTGCCTCGGCCTCTCAAAGTTTTGGGACTACAGGCATAAGCCACTACTTTCATTTCTCTGCTTTCATGTATTAGGGTGATCACTGAACTGCGGGTTTTAACACTGGCTGCTGATCGCCACTCCCCAACACTGAGAAACAGACCTGGCCAGAGAACTGCAGCCAATTCCTTATGTCCAAGTGCAAATTTTTGCAGCTTTACTATAATTGCCAACTACCTGTGATGACTGGTGACTCCAGGACACTCAGCCCATATGGGTTCCACACAAACTTTGGAGTCAACCTCTTCTTGGCATATGACTGTGTCTACAGCACCCCTCTCTCCACCACTCTCCTTCAATTCCCAGGTACAAAGGGCTAGACTTAAGCCAGTGAATAGCAGTGACTATTCTTCCAGATTATTTTGGGAGGTTTCCAAGAAGTTCCAGCACCTTTACCCGCCATGTGGTATTTGTATTTGCCAGTTTTTTAAATTCACAGTTATTACTGGCCATTACTATGAAAGAATTAGAAGCAATCATCTTGGAGGACAGCAAAAAACAGAGAGGAAAATAGGAATTCATCAAGCCTAGGACCCAGACTCTTTCAAAGTTATCTGACTGAGCCACCACTTTGTATTACCTATTATAATCCCTCTTAATCAATCAAGCTGATTTTTTCCCCTTTCACCTGGGCCTGTCTCCTCAGAGTCAGAGATGAAAGGGACAAGGCCAAATTGCTCCAAGTGACTTTAGAACCAATTACTTAAAAAAACAAGTTCCAAAATACATATAGGGTAAAGTGAGGTGTAATAGACAGTTTAGTTTAGTTACAATGGTTTATGAAGCTAGTTTCCTAGTTCCCCTGAAGGGGAGCTGAAAATGGAGTTGCCTGCAGGAAAGTCAACAACCTTTTTAAAGGTAAGTCAGATTTATCCTCTCCAATCCCTGGAGTGGCTCCCACCTCATTCTTTGGGAAACTGGTCTCAAAGGCCCCTGCTCCCACCCCCTTGACCTCTCTGAGCTCCTCCCCTATCACTCTCTGCTCTAGCCCCACAGTTGCCTTGTTCCTGGAACAGGCCTACCACATATCTACATAGGAACTCTGTTCTCACCTGCACGTTCTTCTCCCAGAGCCAGATAGCTTGCTCTCCTTCCAGTCTTTGGGCAAGTGTCACTCATTCCCTGGTCATTCTAGTAAAAACAGCCAGCTCCACACCTTTTCCCTGGCTGTAACTCCCTCCCCTGTTTTATCCCCTGCCTGGCCCCATACTTACTCCAAACAGACACATATATGCTACTTGTTTACTGTCTGTCTCTCCTCTGACTAAAATGTAAACTCCTTAAAGGGCAGAAACTGACTGTTCCTTGCTGTAATCCTCACGTCATCACACCGGAGTCTGTGTGAATGATTAAATGGTGTAAGAACTAGGCCTTAGAGAACTAGGCTAGAACTCACATATTCAGAGATGGTGCTGTGGGAGTGACATGAGAGAATTATAGAAAGTGAAAATAGAATATGATCAACCTAAAAGCAGAGCTGGAGGATGCTGAAGACCTTGCCTGTAAAATCCCATGAGTCCGGTTCTAAGGGAAAGACCCAGCTTGAGTCCACATGAGAACTGAGGAAAGACTTCAGAAAGTAAATATTGATTAGAGCAGAAGATGGCCAGTAACCCCAAATTCTAAAAGCTTGACCCATATCTTGAAATATCGTAAGTCTAAAACAGCTAGACAAGGGTCTACTTCCTTAAGCTTGATTATATAGTCATGTGACCCAAAACAATCGCTAAACATTCATGTGCAAATAATGTCAGAATCTAAAGGAAACTTCTCATCCTATTCAAAATGCCTCTGTTGCTTTGTTCCAGTGAATCTGCAGGGCAGTAGGTAATAGCTATTCAAATGGTGATGATGCTGCTTGACACTGTTCCAGCACTTCACATACACTAACTCATTTAATCCTCACAACACTAGCACGCTCCTTTTACAGATGAGGAAACAGAAGCAGAGTTCACAAAGCTCCTAGGCAGCAGGGCTGGGGGCAGGACATGTTTTTAACATTACATTGCCCAGAGGGTCTTCCACATGGTCAGTAAAAAATACCAGTTGTCCTGTCAGTTTGGCCTTGAAAGTGGGTAGCCACCCACAATAAATCTGTCCCTTCACTGCCACCCTCTTATAAGGACCTCCATACTGTTCCAGCTGGCTCTTCACCCGCTCCCCATCATTCTTAGAACTATCAAGAGCAATTCTGTCTACATGAGTATTAATTTTTTCCCCTTGTGATGTGCTCCTGCTCTACTCCTCAGTGCCAGTGGCCTTCTCTAGATAAAACAAGGCTGAATGGGGGCTAAATTGAACAAAAACATTAAAGCTAGCAGTTTAAACTAATGAAAAGCCTTCTCAAGAGATATTCTCTATAAAAAGCTATGTTACATGTTGTTTAATTAATCCTTCTGGAAATAAAATCAGGCTTCTGAAGATCTGAGTGTATAAACAATGTTGCCACTTGCTCCATATTCTTCCTAAATAGGAGCCACCAAGAGCTAAAGGCCACTTTAAACATCAGGGTATCAGGCCTGAGGCTGCCCTATCTCCAGACAGGGAAAACAGATACAGGAAGGACTCCTTCTTAGGT
This sequence comes from Homo sapiens, assembly GCF_000001405.40. NCBI lineage: Eukaryota > Metazoa > Chordata > Mammalia > Primates > Hominidae > Homo > Homo sapiens. The sequence continues at coordinate 118,086 of NW_009646208.1, forward strand.
CTGTTCTCAGCCTTCCCCTGCAGATTCCCTGTCCTGTATGATACCCCTTTCCCTATTGTTATGGTTCTACTTTATGAAAAAGAAAAAAAAAAAATCCAAGGCCAAATACCTCCTGCAGGGTTCCAGTCATGCTAAATATTCTTAGTATACATGAAGCACCTGAGTAGGAGAAGGTGGTTGCCCAGGTTTATCTTTTTTAGGAATGCCAAGTAAACCAATTAAGAAAACCAACTAGCATATACCAACGACAGAAAATGTAAACCTGGAGCTATAAAATAAGTAATAGGCTGGGTGTGGTGGCTCACACCTGTAATCCCAGTGTTTTGGGAGGCTGAGGTGTGAGGATCGCTTGAGGTCAGGAGTTCAAGACCAGCCTGGGTTAAAAAAAATTTTAAATGCACAGTGTCATGAGGTGTGCCTACAGTCCCAGCTGCTCAAGAGGCTGAGGTAGGACGATTGCTTGAACTCAGGAGTTCGAGGCTGCAACGAGCTATGAATGTGCCAATGTGCTCCACCCTGGGTGACAGTAACCCTGTCTCAAAAAAAAAAAAAAAAAAAAAAAAAAGCTAATAGAGATAATTCCAATTTTATCCCATCATCTTAAAAAAAGCATCAGTGTAGTCAGTTTTAAAGCACTGTGATTAGTAATAATAAGTGCCTGAATTCCTTTGTTTAAATGAATACAAATAGTAAGGAAAATCTGATACCTCAAAGGAATAAGTCACCTAAGGAACTTGCATACACACTCTAAAAAAGAGGCTGGGCACAGTGGCTCACCCCTGTAATCCCTGAACTTTGGGAGGTCAAGGCGGGCAGATCACTTGGGCTCAGGAGTTCGAGACCAGCCTGGGCAACATGGCGAAACCCTATCTTTATAAAAAATACAAAAATTAGCCAGGCATGGTGATGCGTGCCTGTAGTCCCAGCACCTCGGGGGGCTGAGGCAGGAGGATCGCCTGAGCCTCGGAGGCAGAGGTTGCAGTGAGCAGAGATCGCGCCACTGCCCTCCAGCCTGGGCAACAAAGCGAGATTCCGTCTCAATAAATAAATAAAAAAGAGGCCTACCGATGTACTTCCCATCCATAATGACTCTCCCTTTCCTGTTTTTCTCCTATATTCCTAACTTTCTGAACAGTTTCAGAAGGGCTGTGGAGGTGTATTAGTGAGGTCCAGAACTCTGTGCCTAAACATTCCAGAGTCCATGTGCCGACCTCACAAACTCACTCATAACCAGCTGCAGACTTGTTCTCCCCATCCTATTAGAGGGCTGATGACCTTGCCCTCTTATAGAAAACCAACATTGGCTTTCTCTGTCCTTCTTCCTCCATATGTCCAACAACATCCCACTTCCCAATCCATTCTCTTTTTTGGAAAGAGAGTCTCACTCTGTTGCCCAGGCTGGAGTGCAGTGGCATGACCACAGGCTCACTGCGGCCTCAACTCCCAGCTCAGGCAATCCTCCTGCCTCAGCCTCCCAAGTAGCTGGGACCACAGGCATGGGACCCCTGGCTAATTTTTAAAAAATAATTGGGACTATGGCTAATTTTTATAATTTCTTAAAAATAGAGACAGAGTCTCACTGTGCTGTCCAGGCTGGTCTCAAACTCCTGGGCTCAAGCCATCCTGCTGTTTCAACCTCCCAAAGTGCTAGAATTCAGCCATTGTGCCTGGCCCCAGCTAATTTTTTCATCCTCTGTCATGATTTTCTGCTTATTCTCCTTCTTTGCCTTTAAATCCTCAAGACATTGACAATGATGCATCTAGTTATAGCCTGTGTAAGGGATATTCCCTGTTTGCCCCCACAGCCTCTCCTCACCCATCTCCACCCTACTCTATGCCCTAGAACGGACAATGGAAGGACAACTGACAGGCCCCACCACCCTTGCCTTCTGACCCAGTTTGGCTGGTAAGAGGCAGGAGAGGAGGAAAGTGAGAGGAACTTACTCTCCTGGCTCCCACCCCGAGGTTACTGAGGCTGGCTGAGACCCTCCACCAATGGCTGCAGCTCCATCGGGCAACCTCAACATATAGCCACTTTCTCCAAACTCCAGGAACCACTTCATCCTCTGCCCTTCAGGTCTAGAAGGCAGTAGGTAACAACTCCCTGCTACTGCTAGCACAGAAGACTTCACTTTCCTGTTGGCTTCCCCAAACCCTGCTCACCCTTTCCAGTCCCTTTATTAATCTTCTGCATTGTTGTCAACTCAGCATCGTGACCACCCTCCTTCCAAGCTCTCCTCTGCAGATCAGAAGCTGAGAACTTCCGTTCCAGAACCCTTTAGCAGCATGGTTCTGGGTTAGAGTTTGCAATGAGAAGTGCAAGAGAGATTTAGAAGGCAAAATAAACGTAGAGGTTGATGATATTCCCTGGAGGTAGATGCAGCACACGTGGATTCATAGCGGCTTCCCCATGAGCTCACGAGAACCATTCACTATGACACTTCAGTATGAAATCATCAGGAACCTTCCCAATTCCAGTTCTTCCAGGGTTGGGTAAAGCCTTAATTCCTGTATCAAAACCATTCATACCGGAATAGACAACTTCTCTTTTCCTGAATGAACCCTGAATGATACAATTAAACACTCCTTAAATTACCCAGTTTGAATGTGCCATCTGTTTTCTACTGGGACCCTGACTGATAAGAGTTCTTCTCATTCCTAGGATTTCAGAGTAGACTATTGCCACTTGGGGAATGAGAGACTTCTATTTCATGCACTATGACATAGAACAGGGACTAAAAATCCTCCCTCAACAAAACACTTAGAAATGTCAGACAAAATGTATAGCCAAGTTGCAAGAAAGTAAGAAATGCCCAAAGTCCAAAATTGGATGAGATACTATGAAGAGAGTTGCAGGCAGGTGCTGGGCTCTGAATGCCAAGGATGTGGGGTCTATAGGGCTTATTAACCATATGGCAAAGGGTTTTTTTTTTTTTTTTTGAGACGGAGTCTCGTTCTGTTGCCCAGGCTGGAGTGCAGTGGCGATATCTCGGCTCACTGCAAGCTCCGCCTCCCGGGTTCACGTCATTCTCCTGCCTCAGCCTCCCAAGTAGCTGGGACTACAGGCGCCCACCACCGTGCCTGGCTGATTTTTTGTATTTTTAGTAGAGACAGGGTTTCACCGTGTTAGCCAGGATGGTCTCGATCTCCTGACCTCATGATCCGCCCGCCTCAGCCTCCCAAAGTGCTGGGATTACAGGCATGAGCCACCGCGCCCGGCCCCATATGGCAAAGGTTTTAATGACCATGCAGAGACAGAGCAAGGCCTCTGGCCCTCTAGACAGATCAGTACTTAAGGACTCTGGACAGTGTCACTTGTGACTGTAATCATTTCTAAAAGACAACAAATGCATTTATTATTAGGCAGTAACTAACTCATTTTCAATGACAAAGATAAGGTTGTTCTTCCTCAACTGACCCAACTGCCTATTCTCAAAGAAAACCATGATCATCCCAAGCAAGAAGCTTTAGAATAACCCCAAACTGACCTTTCACTTTGACTCTGTATTTACCATGCTACCTCATCATGACACTACTCTCCTTCCTGTATTTGTCCTTTCCCATTCCATTCTCGTCACTGTCATTTTCATCTTTCTTGGGCTAGAATAACACCTGAAAAGTTCTCTTTCCCAGTACTTTCTTTTGCTTAACTGCCATTTTGACACCATCACACCCCCCCATAGGCCCTGAAGCCCTGTGACATCTTCCCAACACAATTTCTGCTTCTCCCCACCCTCTCAAACAAGCCTGCTCAGCCCCCTTTGTGCCATCGGCCCACTCTCACCTTGGTCTCAACTTGGAGCCTTTTAAGCATCCCCAGGCCCATAAATTCCTTCTTGCCACATGAGATCATATGGTTCTTAAGAGCTCTTAGAATGTGTCCTGCTGTATCTTAAGAGCTCCTAAAATGTGTTATCCATGTGATTTTCTCTACAAATCTTCCTCTAAGCAGAGAATGTGTTGGCTTTACCTTGCTTAGTAAAAACAAACCAATTAAAGTATTTACCTTTAACCAGTATCTAAGGTATGTACCACTGATATAATAAAAATTGCTGGCCGGCCACAGTGGCTCACACCTGTAATCCCAGCACTTTGGGAGGCCGAGGCAGGCAGACTGTTTGAGCTCAGGAGACCAGCATGGGCAACATAACAAGACCCCGTCTCCACAAAAAATACAAAAGAATTAGCTGGGTGTGCTGGCTTGTGCCTGTAGTCCCAGCCACTCCAGAGGCTGAGGCAGGAGGATCACTTGAGCCTGGGAGGCAGAGGTTGCAGTGAGCCGAGGCTGCACGCTACTACACTCCAGCCTGGGTGCTACAGTAAGACCTGTCCCAGTAAATAAATAAATAATTGCCATTTATTTAGCAATCTATATATGTTAGTCACTGTGTGGTTTTACCTGTAACTCAATTAATGAATGAGGGGGAAAAATTAATGTAATTTTTTCCAAAAGTCCAAATTTTCCAAAAGTCACTCCTCTAGGACAAGTTGGAGCTGACATTCTGTAACTCCAATTCTTCTGATTCTAGAGCCCATAACCCTTTCTTTCACTGTACCACAAAATTAGGCAAGGAAGATCCAAATGCATATTTTTGAAAATCCTGACACACACTTGGGTCAGATCTCTAATAACTGTAGCTATCAATTATTGCCATGCCTCACACATGTGACACACTATCAGGTGCTTTACACAAATGTTAATGCATTTCATCCTTACCATGATCTAAGAAATGTTAGTAATCCTTTTTGTAAATGGAGACTCAGAAGTTAAACAAGCAAAATATTCATGGTAAACAATGAGATAAGATATATAATATGCCCACTGCAAAACCCAGTCTGTATTTCCCAATCTGTGACATTGGGAAGCATTTTAGAAAGGAATCTTGAGGAATCTTGCTAGAATTTAGTTGACTGCTTGTACCTAGATATATCTGTAACACCTGTATCGTTTGTTTTGTGTATGTGCAAATGTGGGATCTTCCTAAGTGTATCAAGCATAAAGATCTGCTCAGTGACTTAATATTTCATACTCTATGTCCTGTTTGCACATGGGCAGAGCCTATATTTTTCTCAGTGGCTAAAAGTTATCTTAGTGTAATAGGACTTCAGAATAAAATGAAGTGTAATGAAGGTGCTGGCTTCCTCCCTGACTTGGGAGATCAGAAGAGTCTGAAAGCAACTCAGAATTCGCAAGTCAGTTCCTTGTCTAGAAGGAAAGAAACCCACAAGAATGCTGCATATCTAAAAAGATTGCTTTCTGGGTGTCAAAACTCATATTAGCCATGTAAGCCATAAAAAATATCCACCTTGAATCATGACCAAATACATGCAGGCAAAAACTAGGGGGATAAATTTGTAACTATTACATTTCCTGGCCAGGCGCAGTGGCTCACGCCTGTAATACCAGCACTTTGGGAGGCCGAGGTGGGCGGATAACGAGGTCAGGAGATTGAGACCATCCTGGCTAACACAGTGAAACCCCGTCTCTACTAAAAATACAAAAAAATTAGTCGGGCGTGGTGGTAGGCACCTGTAGTCCCAGCTACTCAGGAGGCTGAGGCAGGAGAATGGCGTGAACCTGGGAGGCAGAGATTGCAGTGAGATCGCACCACTGCACTCCAGCCTGGGCAACAAGCGAGACTCTGTCTCAAAAAAAAAATTTCCTAAAAAATTTAAAAGATGATATCCCATCTGGTTAGGTTAGGCTAAAGCTGGTACAAAAAAAAAAAAAAAAAAAAAAAAAAAGCACCATAAATGATTATGACTCTTGGAAAAGAAAACTGGTAATAAAACAGTCAACCAAACAAAAAAACAAAATACCAACATATTCACTCCAGTAATATGTATTAGAAGAAAAAACTGGCAACAACCTATTTGAAAATTGATTAAACAAATTATGGTATATCCACTCAAAGAAATAGTACATAATCATTTTAAACAATTGCAAAGACTCTAGCACCATAGAAAATTACATAGTATCAGATGAAAAGAGCAGCTCACGTAAACTTATACCTGTGCTATGATTATAACTATCTGAAAATGAGGCATTCATTTAGTCCCAGGCCAAAGGGAATAATGGAGAAAAAAGGAAAACTTCTGGACTATCCAAGATGGCAGTGTTGTGGAAGTATTTTTTCCCCTTTTCATTTCTATTTACATTAATTTTTGTGTAGGAAATAATCACTTTTTTTTTTTTTTTTTGAGACAGAGTCTTACACTGCACTGCTGGAGTGCAGTGGTGCAATCTTGGCTCACTGTAGCCTCTGCCTCCCAGGTTCAAGCAATTCTCCTGCCTCAGCCTCCCAAGTAGCTGAGATTACAGGTGCCTGCCACCACGTCCGGCTAATTTTTGTATTTTTAGTAGAGACAGCATTTCGCCATGTTGGCCAGGCTGGTCTTGAACTCCTGACCTCAAGTGATCCACCTGTCTTGGCTTCCCAAAGTGCTGCGATTACAGGGTGAGCCACAGTGCTCAGCCAAAATGTCATTAACCTCATTTAAAAATTACAACCCTTAGGCCGGGCGCGGTGGCTCACACCTGTAATCCCAGCACTTTGGGAGGCCGAGGCGGGTGGATCATGAGGTCAGGAGATCGAGACCATCCTGGCTAACAAGGTGAAACCCCGTCTCTACTAAAAATACAAAAAATTAGCCGGGCGCGGTGGCGGGCGCCTGTAGTCCCAGCTACTCGGGAGGCTGAGGCAGGAGAATGGCGTGAACCCGGGAGGCGGAGCTTGCAGTGAGCCGAGATTGCGCCACTGCAGTCCGCAGTCCGGCCTGGGCGACAGAGCGAGACTCCGTCTCAAAAAAAAAAAAAAAAAAAAAATTACAACCCTTGAACTATCTCAACAGTATCAGAGCTTTATCTGTTCCTACTGACAGCAAAGTGCTGCTCTGCCCAAGGGAAAGAAATAGAGGCACAGGGGACCCCACAAGTCAGAAGCAGGAGGGAAGGGAGGAGCCTGCCAGACAGGACCTCTACTTCAGGAAACCTGGTGCCAATGCCACACACAGGGTTGTTGGACACCACAGTGCCCAGGCAAGTGTGCACACAGGGTCACTAGCTCAAAATTATTTTTTGAGAATCAGGCCTAAAGTCAGCTGAATTCCAACCCACAGTCGGCAGGCCTATTATTAGGCATAATTTCAAACAGCCAAGAGGCTGCAAGCATCCTATATCCACCACATGCTTCTGTAACTCTGCAAGGAGATGCTATAAATCTGCTCCTGAGCAGACCAAAGGCACCTGGGCCCTATCCTGGCCCCACCCCCACTCCATGGCTATCTGTCTTATTTTCACAGGGGCATCCCAAGATCACTTCAGATGACCACATATGTGAGCAGGATGGCCAAACAGTTCCCAAAAAGGGGGCAGGAGAAGGGTGGGAGCAGGACATCTCTGGGGCTAGCTAGAGGCTCCTGTGGGATTTTCTTAAATGCTGAGCGTAGGGGCTTCTGAGATGTCATTGAATATATTTTTTCATTCAAAGGTTGTATTAATACATAATTTCTAAACCTTCAGAGGCAAAAGGGAGGTAATTAGTGTTGCCACTTATAGGCTAAAAGGATGTTCCATTTTATAATTCATTCAAATATAATTTTGAGGCCGGGCCTGGTGGCTCAAGCCTGTAATCCCAGCACTTCGGAAGGCTGAGGCAGGCAGATCACACCTGAGGTCAGAAGTTCAAGACCAGCCTGGCCAACATGGTGAAATGCTGTCTCTACTAAAAATACAAAAACTGGCCACATACGGTGGCGGAAACCTATAATCCCAGCTACTCAGGAGGCTGTGGCAGGAGAATCGCTTGAACACAGGAGGTGGAGGTTGCAGTGAGCCAAGATCACGCCACTGAACTCCATCCAGCGTGGGTGACAGAGTGAGATTCTGTCTCTTAAAAAGAAATAATAATAAAACAAACAAATACAATTCTGAATTAAAATTCAAAAGATATCAATGACCAATCCAAAGCAGAAGTGGGCAAAAGCTATATGAAAATTAGAGACTTCACTGAACAACCCAAAAAAGCTCAAAACAAAAGGAAAGAAACAAACTAGCAGAACAAATGGTATAGCTAGATAAAAAGGGCTAGTATTGTAAAGACGTTAAGTCTCCACATATTAGTTTATAAAATTCTAATAGGTTCCAGTCAAAATCTCAATAGGATATTAAAAAATAATTTTTAAGACTGGGCGTGGTGGCTCACGCCTGTAATCCCAGCACTTTGAGAGGCCAAGGCAGGCAGAACACACGAGGCCAGGAGTTCAAGACCAGCCTGGCCATTACAGTGAAACCCCGTCTCTACTAAAAATACAAAAATTAGCTGGGCATGGTGGCACATGCCCGTAATCCTAGCTACTCGAGTGGCTGAGGCACAAGAATCACTTGAACTCTGGAGGCTGCAGTGAGCTAAGATCGTTCCATTGCACTCCAGCCTGGGAGACAGAGCAACAGCCTCTCTCAAAAAAAAATAGTAATTTTAAATTACTTCAAATGTACAGAAAAGTGCAAAAATAGTTCAAAGGGCTCACATACCCTCTTTCAACGAGATTCTCCAACTGATGCTTTACCTCATTTGCTCCATTATCTTTTCCTGACCCCTTTGAGAGCAGGCTGAAGGCATGAAGCTCCATTGTTGCTCAATACTCTAGTGCGTTATTTCCAAAAACAAGGACATTCTCCTCCATAACCAGCATACAAGCCTCCACATCAGGAAATCAACACTGATACTACACTCTCAATCCAATCCATAGACCCCATTTGAATTTTGTCAGCTGTCCCAACAATGTCTTTCCTTTCTAGTCCAGGAGTCTACCCCAGAGCTACATCTCACCAGTGTCAATCAATCTGGAATAGTTCCCTTTTCTCTTCCTGACTTCCATGTCCCTGCCAGAGTACAGTCTTTTCATTTTGCAGGATAACCCTCAATCTGATCTGTATTTCCTCGTGACCAGACTCAGGTCATGCTTCCTTAGCGGCAATACCAGACACATGGTGCTGTATTCTTCCCAGGACATTGCATAAGAAGAAGACTGATGGCAACCCATCCCACTACTGCTGATATTTACCACATTCACCTGGTCAAGCTTATTAGAGATGTAGTGTCTCAGGCCCCACAGACCTACAGGATCAGATTCTGCATGTTAACAAGGTCACTAGCAAGTCACACATATGTTACTGTTTGTGAAGTACCAGTGAAAGGTCTTATAAAAAGTAAGAGCCACATGGGGAAGTTCAGATTTTATTAGAAGCCTTTGGAGGGTTTTAAACTATAGAGTGGCATGATCTGGTTTCAGTTCTTAAATGGCTCCTCTGGCTGTTTTGTGGAAAACAGACCAGGGGAGGGGCAAGGACAGAGCAGGGAATTAGTTAGTTGGTAGTCTGGTTAAGGGACGTTGGCTGCATGGGTGAATGTGGTGTTGATGGAGGTAGTGACACACAGTCAAAACGGACACAGTCTGAAGTCAGAGCCAACAGAAATTGCTAACGGATCAGAAGTGGACATGAGAGTCATAACAACAATGATAAACAGCAGCAGCCAACACTAGTTAAACACAAGCCATGTGCCAGCCACTGCTCCATGTCTTTTCAGGTGAAAATTCATTCAACTGTCACAATAATCCCAAGAGGTACAAGTGACAACCCCACTTTATTCAAATGAAGACAACATGGTAGAGAGAGGTTGTGTAGCTGCCCAAGGCCTCAGATCTGAGCTTAGGCAGTGACTGGGGAGCTTGTACTCCATTCACCATCCCTTACAGAACAACTGCAAACACTGCACCATTTGTGAAGAGGAACGAGGCTGGTAAAGGGAATCAAGAGTGCTTTGCCAAACATGGCAACACGCGATTCCCATTGCACATCCACATGGAAACAGCAGGGAGACAGCCAATGCGACAGGATCTCCAAGGAAAGGTGGAGTAGAGATAAAAATGGGAAGGTCATTAGCACAGAGGTAGTATTTAAAGCCAACAGAGTAGATGAGATCACCCAGAGCAGTTTTTCAAACTGCAGGCTGTGAAATCAATTTAGTGGGTCATGAACAGCACTTAAAAAAAAATGAAATAGAGCAGAATGGAAAATAACAGAGTCCACGGCTCATGAAGTATAAGAACCGTTTTGTGAAACTTTTGTTTCTGTTGTGTCTGTGTGCACAAGACGGTGTAGTGTGTTTGTACTTGTCCGGCATTTGGTATGGCTGAACAAAAAGATTTAAAACCACTGGTCTAGAGGCTAACTTGGAGTGACTGATCCCTGCAATCACTCTATCATTTAGAAGGTGGAGAAGAGGAAAAGAAGCCAGAAAAGGAGAGTGAAGAAGTAGGAAGGAGGAAAGGCAGTGGGGGGGTCCCAAGCAAATGTGACATGTTGGACATCCAACGTGCTGGTGAGAGTCATGCAGTATGATCACAGCAGAGATGTCCATAATTATGGAATGGCAAGGTAAGCACACAGCTGTGGGAGCAGAGGGGCACCTAACCTGTTTAAACTTAGCACAGAATAAAAAAGGGAAGGAGAGAGGTGATATTAGGATTTTATTTGAGATCTAAGTTTAAGGGAACGGCAGGATATCCAGTCTGTAACTTCCATAAACAGCAAATATCCAATCATTCTTTTATTGTTGTTTTTAAGCATCTACTATGTGCTGGGCTGTTTACTAGACCTGGGAAAATAACTAGGACACTGTTCTATCCTGAAAAGCCTCAAACTGCAAGAGAGTAACGCAGGTACAGTACAGTGAAGAGAGAGGGTCAGAAGATAGGGTGCGTAACAACAGGTTTGTTGAAGGCCACGGCAATTTTCCTTTCCAACCATACTGCTCACTATTGGCCAAACCCACCACTCCACACAGACCATGCGCTCCGACCTCTTGATTTGTGCTTGGCCTCTCCCCAAAACACTTTCCAAATCTGAGTCATTCCTCAAGGCCATTTGGCTTCCTCACTGAAGGCTTCAGGAAAACGGCTCAGCTTGGTGATCTTGCCTTCCCCAAACAGCTACAGCACTTCTTGTCCATACACCATTACCTGGTGGCTGTGTCCTTATTTCCCCACTTGGTATGAATGCCTTATCTCCCCAGCTGAGCCATGTATTGTTGAAGGCATGTAACAAACATGTCTCACATCTACAAGGTCCTCAAACAGCAGCCAAGCAAACACTTGTTGCTCTGCTACTAGACTTCCCTCCAATCCAGCTTGCATTTCAGCATCTTACTGAAAAAGATCTGATTAATTCACCCCCTATTTTAAAACCTTCACTGGCTCCCAATTATTAGTACAGCACATGCAGACTTGTCTTCCAGGTGTACCACACAGCTTTCCCTTCCCTGCCTCCCAAACACCTTAAAGTTGAAGCAACAGCAATAAAAATAGTCACGTGCTACATAACACATTTCTGTCAACAATGACCACGTACACAATGGTGGTCCCATCAGAGTACAATGGAGCTGAAAAACTCCTATTGCCTGGTGATGCTGTAGCTGTCATAATGCAACATATTACCTCCTTGTTTATGGTCATGCAAGTGTAAACCTAATATACTGCCAGTGGTATAAAAGCATAGCACATACAACTATGTACAGTACATAATACTTGAAAATAAACTATGTTACTGGTTTACATATCCTATGTAGAATTCTATGTTATGTATACTATGTATTCTACTTATAAAAATAGTTAACTAAAGCTGGGTGTGGGAGCATGTGCCTATAAGTCCTAGCTACTCAGGAGGCTGAGGCAGAGAATCGCTTGAACCTGGGAGGTGGAGGTTGCAGTGAGCCGAGATCATGCCACTGCACTCCAGTCTGGGCGACAGAGAGAGACTGTCTCAAAAAAAAAACCAAAGCAAACAAACAAAAGACACTGTTATCATAGGAGATGATAGCTCCATGTGTGTTACTGACCCTAAAGACCTTCCAGTGGGCCAAGATGTGAAGCTGGAAGACAGTGATATTGATTATTCTGACCCTGTGTAGGTTTAGGCTAATGCATGTGTTTGTGTCTTAGTTTTTAACAAAAGTGTTTAAAAAGTGAAAAAATAAAAAATAAAAAATATTTAAATATGGCTCGGTGAGGTGGCTCACGTCTGTAATCCCAGTACTTTGGAAGGCCAAGGTGGGTGGATCACATGGGGTCTGGAATTCCAGACCAGCCTGGCCAACACGGTGAAACCCCGTCTCTACTAAAAAAAACACAAAAATTAGCCAGGTGTAATGGCGTGTGCCTGTAGTACCAACTACTTGGGAGGCTAAGGCAGGAGAATCGCTTGAACTCGCGACATGGAGGCTGCAGTGAGCTGAGACTGCACCATTCCACTCCAACCTGGGCGACACAGCAAGACTCTGTCTCAAATAATGATAATAAATAGAAAAAAAAGCTTATAAAGTGGCTAGGCCTGGTGGCTCACACCTACAATTCCAGAACTTTTGGGAGGCAGAGGAGAAAGGATTGCTTGATGCCAGGAGTTTGAGACCAGCCTGGGCAACATAGCATGACTCCAGCTCTATAAAAACTAAAAAAACGTAGCCAAGCACGGTGGTATGCACCTGTAGTCCTAGCTACTCAGGAGGCTTAAGTGAGGGTTGCTTGAGCCCAGGAGTTTGAGGTTACAGGGAGCTATGACTGTGCCACTGCACTCCAGCCTGGAACAGAGTAAGACCTTATCTCTAAGAGTAATTAATAATAATCATAAAAAAGTTTATAGAATAACACAATGACAGAAAATATTTTTGAACAGCTGCACAATGTATTTGTGGTTTAAGCTAAGTGTTATTACAAGAGTCAAAAGGTTACAAATTTTTAAAGTTTTTAAAGTAAAAAAGTTACAGTAATCTGGCCAGGGACTGGTGGCTCATGCCTGTAATCCCAGCATTTTGAGAGGCCCAGGCGGGTGGATCACAAGGTCAGCAGATCAAGACCATCCTGGCTAATACGGTGAAACCCCGTCTCTACTAAAAATACAAAAAATTAGCCAGGTGTGGTGGCGGGCACCTGTAGTCCCAGCTACTCGAGAGGCTGAGGCAGAAGAATGACGTGAACCCGGGAGGCGGAGCTTGCAGTGAGCCAAGATCAAGCCACCGCACTCCAGCCTGGGCGACAGAGAGAGACTCCGTCTCAAAAAAAAAAAAAAAAAAGTTACAGTAATCTAAGGTTAATAATATCAAAACAAGAAAACTTTAAAAAATAAATTTAGTGTAGTCCAAATGTACAGTGTTTATACATCTACAGTAGTGTGCAGTAACGTCCTGGGCCTTTACCTTCATTCACCATTCACTCACTGACTCACCCAGAACAACTTCCTTATCTTTTATACCTTATTTTTACTGTACCTTCTCTATGTTTAGACATATGCAGATACATACTTACCACTCTTTTACAATCTCCTACAGCATTCAGTACAGTAACATGCGGTACAGGTTTGTATCCTAGGAGCAATAGGCTATACCACATAGCCTAGATGGGCAGTCGGCTACACCCAGGCTAGGTGTGTGTAAGTACATCCTAAGATGTTAGAACAACGACAAAAATCACTCAATGATGCACTTCTTAGAAATATTCTGTTGTTAACTGAGGCATGATTGTACCAAAACAAAAAAAAAACAACGTACCACCAGCACCAAAGGTGCCAGAGATGAAAATTAGAAAGACGACTGATATTCATTCAACTGCTGACAACAGATGTTTTGGGGGTGGGATTACAGGGCATAGTCATCTTTCAGCAACTAGTTCGATCGGCCGGGCGCAGTGGCTCACGCCCGTAATCCCAGCACTTTGGGAGGTCGAGGCGGGCGGATCACGAGGTCAGGAGATCGAGACCATCCTGTCTAACACGGTGAAACCCCATCTCTACTAAAAAAAATACAAAAAAATTAGCACGGCGTGGTGGCGGGCACCTGTGGTCCCAGCAACCCGGGAGGCGGAGCTTGCAGTGAGCCTAGATCGTGCCACTGCGCTCCAGCCTGGGCAACAGAGCAAGACTCCGTCTCCAAAAAGAAAAAAAAAAAAAAAAACTAGTTTGACCAACATGCTAATTTTAAAACAAATAAAATTTAAAAGAAAACAATAATTGCAACTACTTTTATTGAGTGTTTAAATTATGTGCAATGCAATATTTTTTGTTTGTTTTGAGACAGAGTCTCCCTCTGTCGTCCAGGCTGGAGTGCACTGGTGCAATCTCGGCTCAGTGCAACCTCTGCCTCCCTGGTTCAAGCAATTCTCCTGCCTCAGTCTCCCAAGTAGCTGAGATTACAGGCTTGTGCCACAATACCCGGCTAATTTTTGTATTTTTAGTAGAGGCGAGGTTTTAACCATGTTGGCCAGACTGGTCTCGGACTCCTGACCTGAAGTCATCCACCTGCCTCGGCCTCCCAAAGTGCTAGGATTACAGGTGTGAGCCATCACACCCAGCTGCAATGCAATATATTATAGTCTCATTTAATCTTAACTCTATTATGCAGTAACTAGCCATTCTGCAGATGAGGAAACAAAGGCTCAGAAAGTTTAGTAACTCTCATAAGGTTATACAGCCAGTCAGTAAGGAAGACAGGCTGGGACTAACAAGGAATGTGCCCTAACTTCTACTGTTCTTAGCAATGTTCTGTGTATTCCCAGCACACCCAGCAGGCACCTTCTGCACCTTTTCGTTTGTTCAGCCTGGTCCTTCTGCGTGAATAATACCAGCTTTGCTGACATACCACTCACCTTTCAAGTCCAGTGCAAATCGCACTTTTCCCTTAACACCTTCCTAGAACACAAGCCATGATAAGCATTACCAGAGTTATCTACCCTTCTATTTCCCCCACAGCGTGGGACCTTAGTTCTCTTACTGCCACGCACAGAGCAAGCAATCGAACACTGGGTGAATTAAGTTGACAATATAAATTCTCTTTCTGACAAATGTAAAGGTAACAGATGAAGACCAAAAGTTTTAATCTGTGAGGAAAATTAATACCAAGAAAGGGTTTCCATAATCCCTACCTGCATTCTCTGCTCTGAACCTCACCTCTCACTGAGGCATAAGGAAAGGCAGGTTAATTTTCACCTCTTCCAAAAAGTGGCTTTACATAATAAATCCCACTTCTGAAGAATAAAAGCTACCTAACTTGTTATTAAAAATGTAAGCAATGAGAATAAAAAGGTTTCTTTAGAGTTTTTAAAATTACTTTCAATGCCTCTAGCCCTTGAAAGAAAGCACTTAAGTTTAGTACAAACAAAATGTAAAAACATGAAAACTTACTTTCCCTATACATAAACATGGAGACACAAAACCAGTGAAACAGACACGTTTAAAATTCAAAATGCTCTTAACTGACCACATCCTAATTTACGAGCAGAAGTCGAGTCCAAACAAAAACACACTGTAAAACAAAAGTGCTGGCTAACAACCTTAGAAAGAAAATATAGGAGGGGACAAACAGATTTTAATGTGTCCTTGGCCTTCCTGAGCAAAGCAATGAGAAATGCAGTCAACCAAAGCATTTAGACTTGATTTTACTGGACGTACCAACACCATAGGTCAACCTGTCAAATGAAGCAAAAAGCAGAACCGAGTTCTATGGGTTTAGTCCCCTCCAGATAAAAGCCAATGAACCTTTTTACAGTTTATGGGGTCCTCTCCATATGGCTGGGGATGCAGGCATGGGAGGAATATTGTCTGGACGATTAATTCCTGTGAAATGAACACAGGAGTTAGGAGGAGCGGAGGTGAGTCAACACACTCTACACTTCCACGGTTGCCTCAAACTCACCACAATTCCAAAATACCAAGAAACAATGTGCTAGTTCTTGCTTTTTTTAAGTGTCCATAAGCTAAAAGTCCTTCTGAAGATTGAGCGTCCCACTTAAAAGCCCAAACCAAAAAATAGTTTGCAGGATTATTTCAAATATATTAAAAACATCAAAATGCTAACTCCAAACTAAGGTGAAATAGTTACATCTAAGTATCCAAGAAGAGCATCAAGAATTAGCAAATTAATTTAGGGTCAGAAAACCTAATAATTAGGGTCAGAAGAACAAAAAGATCATTTCGGTAGCATAAGAACTTTGTGCCGGGTGCAGTGGCTCACGCCTGTAAATCCCAGAACTTTTGGAGGGCAGGGCAGGCGGATCACGAGGTCAGGAGTTCAAGACAAGCCTGGCCAACATGGTGAAACCCCACCTCTACTAAAAAAAATACAAGAATTAGCCAGGCATAGTGGCGCATGCCTGTAGTCCCACATACTCGGGAGGCTGAGGCAGGAGAATTGCTTGAGCCCAGGAGACAGAAGTTGCAGTGAGCCGAGATCGTGCCACTGCACTCCAGTCTGGCCAACAGAATGAGACTCTGTCTCAAAAAAAAAAAAAAAAAGAACTTTGTAAATGTCTGTCGCTCTAGACCTTATTTTAGGGTGCAAGCCATAACTATGATAAGGAGGGTGCCATGTATAAATGTAACAGACACTGAGACAAAAGAAAACTACTCCTGACAGCAGTTTGCTGTCTTTCCCAAGAGATTTGAGGAACAGTAACCATAAAACTTTCCTCCTCCCTTCTCAACTGGGGACTTCTCTGATGTAATATCAGGGAGAAGAACAAGGGAACATTGGGTATCAACTGGTGCACACCATCTCTCTCCTGAAGTGACAGAAAGAACATTGAGTAGTACTATCTTACCTAGAGTCAAACTAAATGACTTGAACAAAGAGACCAAGAAAAACATGTTTAGAAAATCATCTAGAAATAGGATTTTATTTTAGTAAGCGAAGTGAACAAAAAATACAATTTTATTTGTACATACAATTGCTTCCACTATTAAATTTGTTTTCTATTGATTCTTCTGGGTCATCTGTTGGAAAAAGTACTACATTTAGAATTAAGAAATCTAAATACTTCCTAGTCTTGCCACTTGTTCTGTGACTTGGGCAAGTTATTTAACCCATATGTCTCACATTCTTCACCTGCAAAAGTGGAGTTAACCTACCTTGCCACCACACGGGAATGTCCCACAGTAAGTCTGCAAACAGCTAAGTACCATATAAATCAAAATTATCACTGTTAGAATTACCACCCTCTTTCCCTCTCTCAGGTAAAAACTTGAACCAATAATAAAATAAGTAAAAGACACCAGACATGGTGGCTCACGCCTATAATCCCAGCACTTTGGGAGGCCGAGGCAGGCAGATCACTTGAGGTCAGGAGTTCAAGATCAGCCTGGCCAACATGGTGAAACCCTGTCTCTACCAAAAATACAAAAATTAGCTGGGCATGGTGGCAGGCACCTGTAATCCGAGAATCACTTGCTTGTACACCCAGGAAGCAGAGGTTGCAGTGAGCCGAGATCTCACCACTGCACACTCCAGCCTGGGTGACAGTGAGATTCCACTTCAAAAAAACAAACAAAAACAAAAACAAAAAAACAAGTAAAAGACAACAAGGAAAAAAATGGAAAAGAGGTTATCAAACAAACAAAATAAACCCTAAAAAACACAATAAATAACTACTGATTGGTGTAACAGCACTCTGTGACAGGTAATTTTTGTCATTCTCGAGTTAGGAAAGATCCCACACCCTGGGATCTACAGTCCATTCATAGAAATCACAGCAGGGTTAAATCCTCATCAATCCTCTAATTCACAATGAAGAATGCCGACGGAGCGCATTCTTAATCTATATGGCAAGAACTACAAGCCACAGGACCAATCCCCACCCTCCCCACAGAGGGACAGTGGCCTGACAGTTGGAGCTCTACTTGGAGGCAGATGGCCTCTAAAGTGCAAGAGTTTTCCCTTCTTCCCTGACCACTGGCATGCAATTAGCAAACACCCTAACCCCAGTCATTCTGAAATAAGCCAATGGAGAGTCACCTGCAATCCTAAATTTTGAAAATAAAAAAGTCAAAGAGACACAAACATTCTATGAAAAATCAGCCACAAGCATAACATTGCAGGTATTGTGGGTCTGGTTCCAGACCGTGGCAATAAAGCGAGTCACACAAATTTTCTGGTTTTCCAGCACATATTAACTTTTATATGTGTACGCTATACTTCAGTCTACTAAGTGTGAAATGGTATTATGTCTAAAAGACAATGTTCATACCTTAATTTAAAAAATACTTTATCGTTAAAAAATGCTAACAATCATCTGAGCCTTCAGGGAGTCCTAATCTTTTTGCTGACGGAGGGTCTTGCCTCCATGTTGATGGCTGCTGACTAATTAGGGTGGTGGTTGCTGAAGGCTGAGGTGGCTGTGGCAAATTTCTTCAAATAACACACCCATGAAGTCTGACGCATCGACTGGCTCTTCCTTTTCTAAGAGATTTTTCTATAGCATGCCAAACTGTTTGATAGCATTTTACCCACAGTGGAACTTCTTTCAAAACTGCAGTCAGTTCTCTTCAACCCCGCCACTGCTTAATCAACTACGTTTATGTAATATTCTAAATCTTTCATTGGCATTTCAACAATGTTCACAGCATCTTCATCAGGAGTAGATTCCATCTCAATAAATCACTTTCTTTGCTCATCCATAAGCAGCAACTCCTCATCTGTTCAAGTTTTATCATGAGATTACAGCAATCCAGTCACATCTCCAGGCTCCACTTTTAATTCGAGTTCTCTTGCTATTTCTACCACATCTGCAGTTCCTGCCTCCACTGAAGTCCTGAACCCCTCAAAGTCATCCATGAGGGCTGGAATCATCTTCCAAACTCCTGTTCATGTACTGACCTCCTCCCATGAATCACAAATGTTCTTAATGGCATTTAGAATGGTAAATCCTTTCCGAAAGGTTTTCAATTCACTCTGCCCAGACCCACTAGAGGAATTATTATGTATAGCAGCTAGAGCCTTATGAAACATATTTCTTAAATAAGACTTGAAAATCAAAATGATTCCTTGATCCAGGGGCTGCAGAATAGATGTTGTGTTAGCAAGCATGAAAACAACATTTATCTCCTTATACATTTCCATCAGAGCTCTTAGGTGACCAGGTATACTGTCAAGAAGTAATATTCTGAAAGAAATCTTTTGAGTAGTAGGTCTCAACAGTGGCCTTAAAATATTCATTAAACCATTCTGTAAACAGATGTGCTGTCATCTAGGTTTTGTTGATCCACTGACAGAGCACAGGCAGAGTAGATTTAGCATAAATTTATGGGCCCTAGAATTATTAGAATGGTAAATGAGCACTGGCATCAACCTAAATTCACCAGCTACACCAGCTCCTAATAACAGTCAGCCTGTCTTTTGAAGCCAGGCACTGACTTCTCCTAATTATGGAAGTCCTAGATGGCATCTTTTCTGACATAAGGCTACACTGAATATCTGTTCAATATAGCCACCTTCATCAGTGATCTTGGCTACATCTTCTAGATAACTTGCTGCAGCTTCTACATTAGCACTTGCTTCAACTTGCATTTTAATGTTACAGAGATGGTTTCAAGAACTTTAGGAACCAATCTGTGCTAGCTTCAAACTTCACTTCTGCAGCTTCTTACTTTTTTCAGCCTTCACAGAAGTGAAAAGAGAAAGTCTTGCTCTGGGATTAGGCTCTGGCTTAAGGGAATGTTGCGGCTGGTTGATTTTCCATCTGAGTCACTAAAACTTTTCCATATCAGCAATAAGCTGTTTCGTTTTCTTCTCATTCATGTGTTCACTGGAGTTGTACTTTTAACTTTCTTCAAGAACCTTTTCTTGCATTCATAACTTGGCCACGTTTGGTGCAATAGGCCTAGTATTCAGCCTATCTTGGCTTTTGACATGCCTTCCTCACTAAACCATCATTTCTAGCTTCTGATTTAAAAGTGAGAGATGTGCAATTCTTCCTGTCACTTGAACATTTAATGGTCATGATCAGGTTATTAACTGACCTAACTTCAATACTGTTGTGTCTGAGGTAACAGAGAGACCTGAGGAGGTGGTGAGATGGGGGGACACCCAGTTGGCAGCAGTCTGAACACACATCTATACACAACATGTATATATTAAGTTCGCCGTCTTATATGGGAGTGCTTTGTGGCGCTCCAAAACAATTACAAAAGTAACATCAGGCCGGGCGCGGTGGCTCACGCCTGTAATCCCAGCACTTTGGGAGGCCGAGGTGGGTGGATCATGAGGTCAGGAGATTGAGACCAACCTGGCTAACACGGTGAAACCCTGTCTCTACTAAAAATACAAAAAAATTAGCCAGGTGTGATGGCGGGCACCTGTAGTCCCAGCTACTCGGGAGGCTGACGCAGGAGAATGGCGTGAACGCGGCAGGCAGAGCTTGCAGTGAGCCGAAATCGCACCACTGCACTCCAGCCTGGGCGACAGAGCGAGACTCCATCTCAAAAAAGAAAAAAAAAAGTAACATCGATGATCACTGATCACAGATCTTCATGACAGATAACAATTTTAAAAGTTTAAGGCTGGGCGCGGTGGCTCATGCCTGTAATCCCAGCACTTTGGGAGGCCGAAGCGGGTGGATCATCTGAGAACAGGAGTTCGAGACCAGCCTAGCCAATACGGAGAAACCCCGTCTCTACTAAAAATACAAAATTAGCAGGGCGTGATGGCGCATGCCTGTAATCCCAGCTACTCGGGAGGCTAAGGCAGGAGAATCACTTGAACCCCGGAGGCGGAGATTGCAGTGAGCCAAAATCACGCCATTGCACTCCAGCCTGGGGAACAAGAGTGAAAATCTCTCTCAGAAAAAAAAAAAAAGTTTAAAATATTCAGGCCAGGTGTGGTGGCTCATGCCTGTAATCCCAGCACTTTGGGAGGCTGAGGCAGGCAGATCACTTCAGGTTAGGAGTTCCAGACCAGTCTGGCCAACACAGTGAAACCCCACCTCTACTAAAAATAAAAATATTAGCCGGGCATGGTGGTGCACACCTGTAATCCCAGCTACTCACGAGGCTGAGGGGGAGAATCGCTAGAACCCAGGAGGTGGAGGTTGTAGTGAGCCGAGATGGCGCCACTTCACTCCAGTGCAGCTCTGGGAGACAGAGCGAGACTCCGACTCAAAAATAAATAAAATAAAATGAATAAAATGTTTAAAATATTGGGAGAATTACCAAAATGTGGCACAAAGACACAAAGTGAGCACATGCTGTTGAAAAATTGGCACCAACAGACTTAGACTTGCTCAATGCAGGGTTGCAATAAACCTTCAATTTATAAAACAAAAAAATCCCACAATATCTGTGAAGTACAATAAAGTAGAATGCAATAAAATGAGGTATCCCTGTATTTCCAAAGCTTCTAGGTGGTAATAATAATAGCTAAAATTTATCTAATCATTACTGTAAGTCTGGCAATGTTCTAAAAGCTTTAGTTATGAACTAATTTAACTGGCACAGCCACCCACGAGGTAGGTACAATTATTATTTCCATTTTCTAGACAACGAAACAGAGGCAGAATAGTCATTTGCTTGACGTCACATTGCAAACAAGGGGCAGAGCTGGGATTCAAAAATCAGGCGACTGGCTGCAGAGATCATGCTCTAGATAGTGAGTCTTAAAGCACCCACCAACCAATACCACCTGGTTTACCCAAACAATTCAGGCATCTTAACAGTGTCACACAGAGACATAAACAATAATACAGTATAATAGTATCACTCACCATATGGTCACTTGTTTCAAGGTTAATGTTAGAATAACATGAGTCCATGAAAATAAGACCTTGTTTTCTGTTTACAGTAATACAGACTAAATAACTGCACAAAAAACTGGATACAATATATATACATCTTTCCAAAAGTAACAAAAATCTAACAAGATAGTGAGATATTACCAAATTAATATCCTGAAAAAGATGGAAATCCAAAGAAAGAGGCAAGACCTGGGGGCATTTGTTGATTTGCCAGTGGAGGCCCAGAAAGTGCCTGGCTCACTCCAAGGCCTTGCATAGGAGATAACTTATAACTCATAACTCAGTAACGCGCTCCTCACCCCAGCGAACCTGTGAACTGAGGCCCCATAGGGCTGCATCCTAGGAGTAAGACTGAAGTAGAAGTAAATAAGCCCTCCCATGGACTCAGCTTCAAACCATCTGGATAGTCCATAAAAAACTCAAATCTTCAACTTTTTTTTTTTTCTGAGACAGAGTCTTGCTCTGTCCCCCCCAGGCTGGAGTGCAGTGGCGCCATCTCAGTTCACTGCGACCTCCGCCTCCCGGGTTCATACGACTCTCCTGCCTCAGCCTCCCAAGTAGCTGGGATTACAAGCACCCGCCATCACGCCCGGCTAATTTCTGTATTTTTAGTAAGGAGGGGGTTTCACCATGTTGGCCAGGCTGGTCTCGAACTCCTGACCTCAGCTGATCTGCCTGCCTCAGTCTCCCAAAGTGCTCTGGGATTACAGGCCTTAGCCAGCGCGCCTGGGCTTCAACTTGTATTAAAATGATCCTCGTTGGCTAGTGCCGTCAGTCACCTGGAAAAAGACATCACACCCAAAGCCTCTAATTATTTCTATAAACAATTTTTCAAATACCATGTCCAGCACACAAACATATGAACAAAGTACCATGAGTAAGAACCATGAGAGGCAGTTATAGATCCAAAGGAACTCCAAATACTGGAGATATCAGGAGACTATAAAAGAATTATATTTAGTATGTTCTAGGAAATAAAAGCGAAGTTTGAAAAATTTAGCAGGGAACAGGAATCCATAAAAAACAATGTAGCAGACTTGAAAAGAATCACAACTGAAAAATACAGTAAGATATTGGTAAGAACTATCCATTGAGTTATTAAATTAAAAGCAGATTAATCGGCTGGCGCGGTGGCTCATACTTGTAATTCCAGCACTTTGGGAGGCTGGGGCAGGTGGCTCACTTGAGGCCAGGAGTTGAAGACCAGCTTGGCCATCATGGTGAAACTCCATCTCTACTAAAAGTACAAAAATTGGCCAGGTGTAGGGGCACACACCTGTGGTCCCAGCTACTCGAGAGGTTAAGGCACAAGAACTGCTTGAACCCAGGAGGCAGAGGGTGCAGTGAGAGCCAAGATCGTGCCACTGCACTGCACCCCAGCCTGGGCGAAAGAGTGAGACTCTTGTCTCAAAAAAACGCAGATTAGTCAAAGAGAAGACTGATTAACTGAAAACAGGTCAAAGTAATCTACCCAGAATGAAAAATAGAAAAGAAAAAAAACACTTGTAATGGATGCCATTTAATCCCAGCACTTTAGGAGGCTTAGGCGGGCAGATCAGGAAGTCAGGAGATCGAGACCATCCTGGCTAACACAGTGAAACCCCGTGTCTACTAAAAATACAAAAAATTAGCCAGGCGTGGTAATAAGTGCCTGTAAGTCCCAGCTACTCGGGAGGCCGAGGCAGAAGAATCACTTGAACCCAGGAGGCGGAGGTTGCAGTGAGCCGAAATCGCACCACCGCACTCCAGCCTGGGCGACAGAGCGAGACTTCGCCTCAAAAAAAAAAAAAAAAAAAAAAAAACAGAAAAGAAAGGGTGACTACAAGGTTGAATGTATCCCTGTATGGGTGGACTCTTAGAATGAGAAGGGAATGGAGGCAAGGCAGTAAGTGAGGAGAAGTATTGGGAATTTTCCAGAACAAATAAGAGATATCACCAAAGAATCAAGAATCTTGGTGAATACAAAACAGATGGTCTCTATTATCTAGAATGTCTTCCAAAAATAACATGAACCTGTTCTGTAAGTATAGTACCACCACAATTAAATATCTATTGTGGTCATATTAGGGGTTATCATAGGGTATACTATATAGACGAACTTACAACACTCTCAGCACGTGAGGAGCTCAAAGTCAAGGATTTAGAAGAGGTATTTTCAACTGTGAAGATCTCTCTACCCGGCCAGGCGAGGTGGCTCACACCTATAATCCCAGCACTTTGGGAGGCTGAGGCACGCGGATCACCTGAGGTCAGGAGTTCAAGACCAGCCTGGCCAACATGGTGAAACCCCATCTCTACTAAAAATACAAAACTTGGCCAAGGGTGGTGGTGGGCACCTGTAATCCCAGCTACACGGGAGACTGAGGCAGGAGAATCACTTGAACCCAGGAGGCAGAGGTTGCAGTGAGTGGAGATCGCACCACTGCACTTCAGCTTGGGTGACAGAGCAAGACTCTGTCTCAAAAAAAGAAAAAAGACATGCAGGAACCTTAAATGATTATTGCTAAGTGAAAGACATGAATCTGAAGTGGCTACATGACTTTAGCTATATAATATTCTGGAAAACACCAAACTGTAAAGTCAGTAGGAAGATCAATGATTACCAAGGATCCAAGGGAAGAGGGGGAAGGATGAATACGGAGAGAGTACAGGTGACTCCTGGGATAGTGAAACAATTCTGTATAATACTGTATTAGCAGATGTAAGACATTATGCATTTGTCCAAACCCACAGAATATACAACAAAGAATGAACTCAAGTCAGTTGCTGTGGCTAGCACCTGTAATCTCACCTGAATCCAGCAGCTCAAGGTTACTGCGAGCTATGATTGTACCACTGCACTGGCTGGCAGAGCAAGACACTGTCTCAAAAAAAAAAAAAAAAAAAAAAAAAAAAAGTCAGGCATGATGGCTCACGCCTGTAATCCCAGCACTTTGGGAGGCTGAGGTGGACTGATCACTTGACGTCAGAAATTTGAGACCAGCCTGGCCAACACGGTGAAACCCTGTCTCTACTAAAAATATAAAAATTAGCAGGCATGGTGGTGGGTGCCTGTAATCCCAGCTACTCAGAAGGCTGAGGCAGGAGAATCGCTTGAACCCTGGAGGTGGAGGTTGCAGTGAGCTGAGATCACACCACTGCACTCCAGCCTGGGCAACAGAGCAAGACTCCCTCTCAAAAACAAACAAAAAAAGGTCAAATATGAACTGGACTTGAGTTAATAATAAAATATCAATACTGTATATCAAGTGTAGCAAATGCACCACACTAATATGAGATATTAGTAATAGTGGAACCTATGGTTGGATTGAGGGAGGGTAAACAGGAACTCTCTTATTGCTCATTTTTTCTGTAAACCTAAAACTGCTCTAAGCAATAAAGTCTACTAACATTTCTCTTAAAAAGTTAATGTATCAGGAAAAATGAACCACAATGACACAGCACTTCATACCCATAGGTATGGCTATAGGAAAGAAAACAAAAAATTACAAGTGTTGGTGATGATGTGGAGAGACTGGAACCCTCACATATTGCTGGTGGGGGCCAGGCACACTGGATCACTTGAAGCCAGGAGTTAGGAGACCAGCCTGGCCAACCATGGTGAGACCCTGTCTATAAAAATACAAAAATTAGACAGGTATGGTGGCACATACCTGTAATCCCAGCTATTTGGGAGGCTGAAGCAAGAGAATCACTCGAGCCCAGTGAGTGAAGCCTGTAGTGATCCACGATCATGCCACTGCCCTCCAGCCTGGGCCACACATGGGAATATAAAATATTCAGCCACTGTGAAAAAGTCTGGTGGTTCTTCAAAAAGTTGAATACAGAATTACACGATCCAGCAACTCCATTCCTAGGTATATACTCAAAATAAGTGAAAACAGGTATCCAAACAAATAGATATACACACATGTTCATAGCAGCACTATTCAAAATAGCCAAAAGGTGGAAACAACCGAAATGTCCATCAACAGATGAACGGATGAACAGATTGTGGTATATACATAAAACTGAGTATGTATTCAGCCATGAAAAGGAATGAAGTACTCATACACAATACAATGTAGATAAATCTCAAAACACTACGCGCTAAGTGAAAGAAGTCAGACATGAAAGGTCACATATTGTACGATTCCATCTAATGAAATATCCAAAAGAAGTAAATCTAAAAACAGAAAGCAGATCGGTGGTTGCAAAGGACTGGCAGAAGAGGGCAAGGGGAGTAACTGCTTAATGGGTAGCAGGTTTACTTTGGGACTAGATACAGGTTGTTATGGGTGCACACATTGTGAATGCAGCAAACGCCACTCGAGTGTTCGCTTAAAAATGATTAATTTTGTCACGTGAATTTCATATCAATTTAAAAAAATCTGGCTGGGCGCAGTGGCTCACACCTGTAATCCCAACACTTTGGGAGGCTGAGGCAGGAGGATCACTTGAGTTCAGGAGTTCAAGACCAGCCTGGACAACATGGCGAAACCCCATCTCTACAAAAAAAAATACCAAAATCAGCTGGGCATGGTGGTGCGCACCTGTAATCCTAGCTACTGGGGTGGTTGAGGCACAAGATTTGCTTCAGCCTGGGAGGCGGAGATTGCAGTGAGCCGTGATCATGCCACTGCACTCCAGCCTGGGCAACAGAGCCGGATCCTGTCTCAGAAGAGAAAAAGAAAAAGAAAAAAAATCTCTAAAAAGGTGTAACTGAGAAGAACCTAGGACATGCAAGAGCAAGTAATTCATTACATAGTCTTCCCCTTTAGTTATCTCCCTTACTCCTTTTTTTCTCTTTGTAGCTGGGACTACAGGCATGCACCACTATGCCCGGCTATTTTTAATTTTGTAGAGACGAGGTCTCACTATGCTGCCCAGGCTGGTCTCCAACACCTGGGTTCAAGTGATCCTCCCACCTAGCATCCCATTGTAGGCGTCAACTACTGTGTCCAGCCTCCTTTACTCCTGTCTCATTCCCATGGCTACTCATCTCGGCCCTGCAAAAACATGAAACGTGGAAGAACAAGATGCTATCTGGGAGGTTTCTAACACTAAATTAAATATTGTTTCTTTGAACACTGACCTACTTCTCCCTTAAGAACTGAGTCCTAGTACTAAAAACTAACCTTTCACCATCATCTTCCTAAAATATTGTGATACCTTCTGCAATGCCCTTTTAAGGGGGTCAAGACAATTCATGTATTCACCCTAAGACAGCTTCCTCCAGCGCGATGTCAACCTTTCTGCCCACCTGCTCAGGACCTCAATTTTGCTAAGATCACTAGCTCTTACTAAGCTTTGGTAGAATTAACCAATGTTTTCTAGCGCCTTTCCCTCTCTATGGCCAATTTTATTTTTAAATTTTATTTATGTATTTTTTGGAGAGAAGGTCTCACTACGTTGCCCAGACTGGTCTCCAACTCCTCGCCTCAAGCAATCCTCCCACCTCAGCCCCTGAATAGATGGAATTACAGGCATGAGCCACCACAGCCAGCTCTATGGTCAAATTTTTACAACGTATTATCAATGATCTAGTTGTCTGTTTCCCACACAATACTGTTGAACACCCTGAGGACAAGTACTAGGACTCATCCCCAAACTCTGAAAAATGGTGCTTCTCAGTCGTTTCCCCATTTGGTTTCTTTTCTTCTACTCTAAAATACTAGACCCAATTTGCTTAATTCTTTTTCTTTTTTCTTTTTTTTCTGAGATGGAGTCTCACTCTGTCACCCAGGCTGGAGTGCACTGGTGTGATCTTGGCTCACTGCAACCTCCACCTACCAGGTTCAAGTGATTCTCTTACCTCAGCCTCCGTGTAGCTGGCGTTACAGGCGCATGCCACCACGCCCAGCTAACTTTCGTATTTTTGGTAGAGACAGGGTTTCGCCATGTTGGCCAGGCTGGTCTTAAACTCTTTACCTCACCTCAAGTGACCCATCCGCCTCGGCCTCCCAAAGTGCTGGGATACAGGCATGAGTCACCAGGCCTGGCCTCAATATACTTAATTCTTTACCTACATTGTTTCTCCTGGCTTCAAAAAGCTTCCTGACCACCAAAACTAATCCTTGGAAAAGGACAAGTCTTCCCTACACCAAAACTAAATACCATTGTTTGCCTTTTTCTCGTACGTGTTTTTCTCTACCTCTAAAATGATTGCTTGTTCATGTGTTCAATGCACCGTAGAGGATACGGCAAGTGCCAATACCATAATCTTGCCCTCAGGGAGGACTGGGGAAGGAGGGCAAGAACACATTTAGAAAGGTATAATAGGCTGGGCACGGTGGCTCACGCCTGTAATCCCAGCATTTTGGGAGGCTGAGGCAGGCAGATCACGAGGTCAGGAGTTTGAGACCAGCCTGGCCAACATGGTGAAACGCCATCTCTACCAAAAATACAAAAATTAGCCAGGCGTGGTGGCGGGTGCCTGTAATCCCAGCTACTTGGGAGGCTGATGCAGGAGAACTGCTTGAACCTGGGAAGCAGGGGTTGCAGTGAGCCGAGATTGCGCCACTGCACTCCAGCCTGGGGGACAGAGCAAGACTCTGTCTCAAAAAATTAAAAAAAAAAAAAAAAGGAAAAAAGAAAGGTATAATAAAAAGCAAAAAGCAAAGATTAAAGGTGCACCAGAAAATTACAAACGTCATGAAGGAAACATCCAGTTAAGGGAATGTTAGATTTCATGGAGAAAAGTAACATTTGAGAAAGGCCTTGAAATATAACTATCTCAAAAGATGGAGAACAGGCTGCACGCGGTGGCTCATACCTGTGATCCCAGCACTTTGGGAGGCCGAGGCAGGTGGATCACCTGAGGTCAGGAGTTAGAGACCAGCCTGGTCAACATGGTGAAATCCCATCTCTACTAAAAATATAAGAATTTGCTTGGCGTGGTGGCAGGCGCCTGTAATCCCAGCTACTCAGGAGGCTGAGGCAGGAGAATGGCATGAACCCGGGAGGCGGAGCTTGCAGTGAGCCGAGATGGTGCCACTGCACTCCAGCCTGGGTGATAGAGCGAGACTCCATCTCAAAAAAAAAAAAAAAAAAGATAAGATGGAGAACAGAAAAGAGGACACGGACCCAGACCTGGAAATAAAGGCACCTCTGGGGACACCGAGCTGCAGCAGAGGATACAACTGGGGAAACCAGGAGATGTGGTTAGAGAGGCAGGGCAGGGTCCTACCATGGAACCCTGAAGACCAAGGCAAGGTGTCTAAATTTAACTCAGTACACAAATGAAAAGGATACGACAAGAGCTACCTTTCAGAAGATTTTCTGGCAGTAGTTGGGAAGACACTAGACCAGGGACTGGGGAAGAAAGGTTACTATTCACGAAGCTACAAGAGCTCAGGCAGGTCCAGCACCATGCTCATTTAAACCACTACCAATCTCTACTTCCACAAGCCTTGACCTGTCTCCTACTTGACTGGTTCCTCCGCATCTCTTCAAGACACCTCTCTTCAATTTCCTCACTTAAAATCACTAACTAGAAAGAAAAAATTAATAGTCTGTTCTACAGAAGTGACTTAAAAAGTGAATATTGTAGACTGATACAACCTTCTGGTTCATAGCCTTTACAACAAATATGTTGGCTCCTACTGTGTGTCAGGCACTACTCTAGGAAACATGGATGCAGACAGGGATGGAGTAGGCAAAGTTTCCATCCCATGGTGCTTACATTTTGTGAAGGAAACAGATACAAGACAAGACTGTCAGATAATTGCTGTGAAGGGAGAACAGGGCTGAGGGAGAGAGCACGTACTCATGTGGGCGCTGCCTGGGCTCAGGTGGGCAGGGAAAGCCTGTCAGTGTGGGGAGAAAGCAGCAGCCACATGGTGTACATTTTTACAAAGTATACATTTTACACTAAAAGGGAGAAACAGGTTTTGAAGCCACATAGAGTTGCATGCCAGCCCTGGCTCTATCACTTGGTGGCTGAGGAACCTCTTCCAAATGAATGAATCTCTCTTCAGTCTGTTTCTTTATCCCCGTTTTACAGATAAAATACTGACTTTATTGGGTTATTCTGAGAGAATTAAATAATGAATATAAAACGTGCACTGTGCCTGGTACTGGGTAAGGGATCTGTAAATATTAACTACTGATTTACTACATCAGTGATTAAATATACATAGAAATTATTTTGCTGCTATATCTAAACACTAGATTTAGCAAAAACTGTCTGCAATCAGTACCAATCATAATCCCAAATGCCATAATCCTGAATGTTAAAATCCCAAAAGACTAAAGTCTAAAAATCCCTAATGTTTAAAACCACAACCCCAAAAGATTAAAATCCCAAATGATGAAATCCCAAAAGCCGAATTTTGGGGCAGGGAATTTGCATAGTTTTGGTTGTACACAATAGTTACACCATGCTAGGTGGAACTATGACCTTGCTATTGTCATTATCTGGAAATTAAGTATGGTTTAAGGAGATGCCTATGGGTACCAAGTTGCCGAGGATAGATTTGTGGACTTAATTTTAGCTATCAACTTGACAGGAACACCTAGAAACCTGGTAAAGCACTGTGTTGTGTGTGTGTCTGTGAGGATGTTTTCAGAGATTAGTGTGCGAGTCTGAGTAGGCAAGGAGAGCCCTCTATGTTGGTGGGTATCATCCAATCAGCCAGGAGCCCAGGGAGTACACAGAAGGTGAATTGCTGAGAGCTAGAACAGACTTTTCTTCTGCTGCCTTGGACATCAGAACTCCAGGCTTGCCAGCCTTTGGACTCCAGGACTTAACCAGTGGCCCCCTGAATTCTGAGGCTTTTTGACCTTGGACCGAGAGATAACACCATTAGCTTCCCTGGTTCTGAGGCCTTTGGATTTGGACTGAGGTATGCTACTGGCATCCCAGGGTCTCAAGCCTGCAGATGATCTGTCATGGGACTTCTCAGCCACCATTAATCATATGAGCCAATTCCCCTAATAAATTCCCTCATATCTATACACATATCCTATTGGTTCTGTCTCCCTAGGGAACCCTGACTAATGCAGATTTGGTGTTGGGGAAGCTGAGTATCAGTTCTTCTTACTTTATTCTTTACAGCACAATTGAAGAGATCTGTGAAACTCTTCCCTCGCAAAAAGGCTCTGATAAGTGTACACGGCTACTTAATGGCGAAAGATAAAAGTTTAAAAGCTAATTATCACTGGTGCTGCAAAAGCAGAAATTGCAACGGCCAGGCAATAATCAGGCTTTCAAATAGACAGTATATACTTACAAAATTTGTGGATCACAACCACTTTGCAAATAAAACTGGAGCAAGTGCTTTGAAGATCGCAGAAGTGAAAATACAGGCAAAAAATACAAGAAATCTCCCCTGCCAAATTATTCAATGGTGTATTATTTCTGCTCCTTCACACATAGTGCCAATTTGCTATGCTATATATTTTATCTTCACATCATTTCTAATACTGGAGATATAAATTGTGTAGAGACTTTTGGAGAGTTCTAATTAATTCTATGCATTTTTTTTTTGCAAACTGAACTCCACAGAAGTGCATTATCACAACACTGACTTCATGTGTAAGCTCTGGCTGTGTTCATCAAAACGTAGAAGCCAGGTGTGGTGGAGCACCTGTAGTCAGTCCCGGCTACTAGGGAGGCTGAGGTAGGAGGATCACTTGAGGCCAGGAGTTTGAGGCTGAAGTGCACTATGATCATGCCTGTGAATAGTCACTGCACTCCAGCATGGGCAACATAGCTAGAAGACTATGGTCTCTTTAAAAAAAGTTGAAACTGGCCAGGCACGGTGGCTCACATCTGTAATCCCAGCACTTGTGAGGCCAAGGCGGGCAGATCACCCAAGGTCAGGAGTTCGAGGCCAGCCTGGCCAATACGGTGAAATCCTGTCTCTACAAAAATTAATAATACAAAAATTAGCCAGGCGTGGTGGCGGGGCGCCTGTAATCCCAGCTACTTGGAAGGCTGAGGCAGGAAAATCGCCTGAACCCAGGAGACAAAGGTTGCAGTGAGCCGAGACCACACCATTGCACTTCAGCCTCAGCAACAACAGTGAAACTCCATCTCAAAAAAAAAAAAAAAAAAAAAAGGTGAACCTTCAATGAGATGTCCTTTTTTTATACTGTTTTTGTGAAAGATAAAATTCAACAATATCTCTGCTCTTCAGGAGACTGCACACACAGTGATGACCCATCCTTGTTTTTACTACCTCATCAAAAGACCTAGTTTGTCCATCATGGTATTTCAGAGGACCACAGTTACAAAATGTAACACCCATGCAACTACGGTTAGTATACTGAGTGATTAAACTTGCAAAATACATTTGTTACTATTTTATTGTGTAAAGTGGTGTACTAGGCTGTTCCTGCATTGCTATGAAGGAATACTTAAAAGAAAAGAGATTTAATTGGCTTACAGTTCTGCAGGCTGTACAGGAGGCATAGTGGCACCTGCTTCCAGGAAGGCCTCAGGAAGCTTCCAATCATGGCAGAAGGCAAAGGGGGAACAGGCACATCACATGATGAGGACTGAGCAAGAGAGAGTGTGAGGTGCCACACTTTTAAAACAGCCAGATCTCGCGAGAAGTCGCTCACCGTCTCGAGGACAGCATCAAGGGGATGGTACTAAACCATTCATGAAAAATCCACCCACATAATCCAATCACCTCCTACCAGCCTCCACTTCCAATATTGGGGATTACAATTCAACATGAGATTTGGGCAGGGACACATATCCAAACTATATTAAGTGGCCTATGAAGTGTTGTCATGTTTTTGTTTCTCAAATAAATCCCCTTTAAAAAAGGTAAATAAGTGGTTTTTCTGTTTGTTTATTGAAGACAAAGTCTTGCTCTGTTGCCCAGACAGCGCCATCACAGCTCACTCCAACCTCTGCCTCCCAGACCCAAGAGATCCTCCCACCTCAGTCTCCCAAGTAGCTGGACTATAGGTGCACGCTAGCTTGCTAATTTTTGTATTTTTTTGTAGAGACAGGGTTTCTCCACGTTGCCCAGGCTGATCTTGAACTCCTGGGCTCAAGCAATCTGCCCACCTTGGCTTCCCAAAATACTGAGATTACAGGTGTGAGACTCTGTACCTGGCCAAACAAGTGTCTTTTTTTTTTTTTTTTTTTTTTTTTTTTGAGACAGAATCTCACTCTGTCACCCAGGTTGGAGTACAGTGGCATGATCTCAGCTCACTGCAACCTCCGCCTCCCATGTTCAAGTGATTCTCGTGCCTCAGCATCCCGAGTAGCGGGGACTACAGGCACTTGCAACCATGCCTAGATAATTTTTATATTTTTAGTAGAGACGGGGTTTTGCCATGTTGGCCAGGCTGGTCTCAAACTCCTGAGCTCAAGTGATCTGCCCACCTAGGCCTCTCAACATGCTGGGATTACAGGAGTGAGCCACCGCACCTGGCCCAAATAAGTATTTTTTAAATAATGTTTTAAAATTATTTTTTCCAGAATTATATTGTTTGGATTTCGATATTTTGGGATTTCAGTATTTGGGATTATGGCATCAAGAACTGTGTCTTTTAGGCCAGGCGCAGTGGCTCATGCCTGTAATCCCAGCACTTCGGGAGGCTGAGGTGGGCAGATCACCTGAGGTCGGGAGTTTGAGACCAGCCTGGCCAACGTGGCAAAACCCTGCCAAGGTGGGCAGATCACCTGAGGTCAGGAGTTCAAGACCAGCCTGGGCAACATGGCGAAACTCTGTCTCTACCTGTATTTTTTTTTGTAAAAATACAAAAAAATTAGCCGGGTGTGGTGGCACGCACCTATAATCCCAGCTACTTGGGAGGCTCAGGCAGGAGAATCACTTGAACCCAAGAGACAGAGGTTGCAGTGAGCCGAGCACCACTGCACTCCAGCCTGGGCGACAGAACGAAAGTCCATCTCAAAAAAAAAAAGAAAAAAATAAAAAAAAGAACTGTCTCTTTCAGAATTATGGCCTAAACCCGTCTGAAACAACTATTCAAGAAGTCTTTGGGAGAGCTAACACCTACAAACATAAACTTCGGTAATATTTTATAAAATATTCTTAAAAATCACCTTTATCCACACACAAGACAGTTTTAAAAGCTTTGGAGACTGAGTCCAGCTCTGTCGCCAGGCTGGAGTGCAGTGGCACATCTCGACTCACTGCAACCTCCACCTCCCAGGTTTAAGCGATTCTCCCGCCTCAGCCTCCCAAGTAGCTGGGATTACAGGCACGCACCACCATGCCCAGCTAATTTTTGTATTTTTAGTAGAGACGGGGCTTCACCTTGTTGGCCAGGATGGTCTTAATTTCCTGACCTCATGATCCGCTGCTCACCTCGGCCTCCCAAAATGTTGGGATTACAGGTGTGAGCCACGGTGCCCAGCCTTTAAAAGCTTTTTTAACTGAAACACTAGAGTAACAATCTTGGCATTTTTAAACGTATATAATTATCCCTATATATAAAACTATTTTAACAAAAATAACTATTTTCATACAACCATTTTAACTCTAGAATAAAAATACTGTTATAGTGAGATTTTTTCAAATATTTAATTTAGTAGAGTCAAATGTTTAACAAAAATAAAATATTATGAAGTATATAGTATATATTTTAATAAAAGGCTAATAAACTGAATCAGGTCAATAAGAGAAGCAAAATACTGGTTTATAAAACTAAGGCCTTCAAGTGACAGGGGGCCATAGGAAAAAAACAACAAAACAAAAACTAAGGCTTTATTCATTTATAAGTGGCAAAAGAAAAAATTTCCTATTTCCCTATTCCCTAATGATTTAATGTAAACTAAAGCAAAGAGAATGCATTAGTTCACTCTTCCTTAGAAACCTACACCATCTACTAATTTGCTAATGAAATCAGATACATGAGTTCTACATGATCAGTGTTGTGACTTCACATTAGTAGAGACGCTACTTGAGTTGCACTGTCACTGGGTTCCAGAAAGAGAATTTCCTAACGAATCACTAAGAAAGCTTCTTCAACAGATACAGGACGGGCTAGTATCAAAATATAGAAAAAAAAATAAAGTAGAGATAATGCTTTGTCTGTTGAAAAATATTTATTAAACTTCTCTAAAAGGGATTACATAAATATATTATCTCAACTACTATAATTAGATGTCAATTCCAATTCCTTAGTAATATTTTCAAGATTTACCCCTTAAATATAGGCGTATGAAAAACCAAAAGCATCAACAAAAGTTTTATTTATATAAAAAGATTTATGCTGGAATGTTAAAATCTAATATTTTGATTTTGAAAGCAAGTTGATTTTTTAAAAACCCTGAAAACAGTAGAGTGAACTGGCATTCCTTGAAAAGCTGAACAAAATAAGTTTAGTAAAAACAAGTAATAAATTTATTAATTCAGAAAGGATC